>NW_017363820.1:0-188004 GCF_000001405.40 Homo sapiens
AAGCAATCCTCCAGCCTCAGCCTCTCAAGTAGGCATGTACCGCCACACCCAGCTAATTTTAATATTTTTTGTAGAGATGGGGTTTTGCCATGTTGCCCAGACTGGTCTCAAACTCCTGGGCTCAAGTAATCTGCCGGCCTCAGCCTCCTAAAGTGTTGGGATTACAGGGATGAGCCACCATACCCAGCCAAACAGTATTTTAAAATAGAACCCCTTCAACATATTCATCAATGTCTGAATCATGGTATGTAGTGTTTTTTTATTCTATCCTTTGGATAAACTTTGATGTTCTTGAATAAACTCTGATGTCCTACTCACTTCTTCTACTTCCTATTTCAAACCACAGGCTTGGGCATTTATAAGTATTTAAATATGTCTAAGTTTTAAAAATACGGATCAACAAAATACCAACTCTTGAAACAAACGGTTAAATGTTTACAAGAAATATAAAATGAATAACTATACTATGGCTTATATGAAATTATCTTAGTGCTGTAACATGAAGTTTGATTCTAAAAACACTAATTTTTCTGGAACAAACACAAACTCTAAAAAAAAGAGGGTTTATTTTTTGCCTAAGATTAAGAGTTATATTTGGTTCTTTCCCTGGTTTTGAACAGAAGCCAATTTTGAAGTAAGCGAAAGGAAAAGGTAAGTAGGTTTGTAATACAACAAACATGCATATGAACAAATAAAAAGGAAAACTGTTCCTAGTTATTTTACATCTATAGAATATGTGTGAAAGAAGTTTGTATGAAAGATTATAAAATTATTAAATGCAAATATGATATATTTATTAAGCTTAAATTATCATACTAGAATATAACAATAAAAGACCGTCAAGGTCTTCACTGCTTACAAATTAAGCAACATTTTCCTAAATATTCATTGGATCAAAGTGCTTACAATAAACTCCTCTGAGTGTTAGAATACAAAGTTGCATAATTCACACTGAATGCTAAAATACACGGTCACATCTACACTAAAATGAGATTATGCATATGCAAATGTTATGAACGATATTTTATTAAAGACAATTTTTGAACATGAGGAATGATATAGTCACTTTAAAAATTATAAAATAAGGTTGTGGGAAAGCAGTATTGGTTCAGGTAACAATGACAAAACATTGTACAGAAAATAAGAAATAGTAGCAATTATGTATAAGTACAAATGCTGGTTCTTCGAAAAAAAATCAGGGAAATCACATCAATACAGACTCAGGAATAAGGAGAAAGTGGACAAAGTAGTAAGGTGTTAGAAATAAAAAGAAAAAAGAAGCACAAATAAAGAAGAGTTTTGACACAATGTAGAAGGAGGATTATAACTACCAATTAACACAAACGATTTTCAATATTTTTTATTGATTTTCATTGCAAAGTGTTTCACAACTAGAGTATCAAAGCTAAATTATACATGATTCCTTTACTCTACAAGTACACAAAACCAGATAATATTAATTCTATTTAAAGGAGAGTTCCCTGATCCATTTAATTAAATCATTATAAATTACTACCAAACCCCAATCAAGATAACAATAAAAGAACTACAGATCAGTAACTAATATATATTCCTGAATACATTTTAATAAATCACCATCAACAATATGCTGATAAAGCAATACGATATTGTCCAAATAGAGGGTATTACTGGAAATCATGTGCTTCATTTAAATACACGATTCTATCAACACAATTGTGAAGAACAACACATGACTATCATGTTAGAAACTGGCTGGGCACAGTGGCTCATACCTGTAATCTGAATACTTTGGCGGTTCGAGGTAGACCAATCACTTAAGCCCAGGAGTTTGAGACAAGCCTGGACAATGTAGGGAAATTCTGTCTCTGCCCAAAATACAAAAAATTAGCTGGGCATGGTGGCATGCACCTGTAGTACCAAGTAGTCCTATAGTCCCAGTAGCTGGCTTAGCTACTCTGGAGGAGAGGCAAGAGGATCACTGGCATCCATCAGGTCGAAGCTGCAGTGAGCCATGATTGTGCCAATACACTCCAGCCTGGGTGACAGAGCCACATTCTGTCAAAAAAAAAAAAAAAAAAAAAAAAAAAAACACTAATAAAGCAACTGATAAAATTAAAGATGAAATGTTAAAACTCTGTAAAGTTGAAAACCCTCCCAGGTTCAAGCGATTCTCCTGCCTCAGCCTCCTGCATAGCTGGGATTACAGGCATGCACCAGCACACCTGGCTAATTTTTGTATTTTTAGTGGAGACGGGGTTTCACAATGCTGGCCAGGCTTGTCTTGAACTCCTATCCCCCTTGATCCACCCATCTTGGCCTCTCAAAGTTCTGGGATTACAGGCATGTGCCATCATGCCAGGCCACTCAGGCCAGGTCTTTATGGGATGGGAATGAATTATTCAACCAGATCCAGTTAGAGGTGTGGCCAGAGAAAAGCTAATTCATCTATGCACCTGTAACATTCAGGCTTCTCATAAACTGGCCAATTTATCTGTGTCTACATATTATGTTCCTTAAAAAATTGTTTCTCTTTTAGGTACAAATAGAGTTACTGAAGCTCAATAATTTGGATTCATGGCAATTATAAAATGTCGTGTGTTTAGGCACAGAGCTTCTTTCACATTCGACCAATGGCAAAACTAAGCACAATTTGGAATGCTTGTTGAACACAAAAGGCTTAATGAAGTATCCAAGCCATTTACTTCCTTAAAGGGACTCCCTTTCCAGGATTCCAAAATATCAGATGTAGTTGCAACCCAGTGTGGCACTCTTCAATATTTAAATTGGACTAATGAGTATACACATTTAACTTTTCTGTACATGCACATGAATGAAAGCCTATCTAGATTTTTATGGTATGTGGTCGAAAGAGATAAATTTATTACACAGTAATAGATGTTGCATTACTTTTGAAATCTTTGCTTACAAAAACAAGCAATAGGGAAAACACTCCTTATTCAATAAGTGGTGCTGGCATAACTGGCTAGCCATATGCAGAAGATTGAAGCTGGACCCCTTCGTTACACCGTACACAAAAATCAACTCAAGATGGATTAAACACTTAAATGTAAAACCCAAAACTACAAAAACCCTGGAAGAAACAACAGACACTGGGATCTACCTGAAGGGGGTGGGTAGGAGGAGGGAGAGGAGCAGAAAAGATAACTATTGGGTACTGAGTTTAATACCCGGGTGATGTAATAATCTGTACAACAAACCCCCATGACATGTGTATATCTATGTAACAAACCTTCACGTATACCCCCAAACCTAAAATAAAATTTTTTTAAAGAGATTTTGAATGTATCCCTGGATCCTTCCATACAGAACATCTGCCAATGGTTGTGCATGTAACTAACATGACACACCTTATTGTTAAATGTTTTAGAATTTCAATATAATGGAAATAAAGAGAAACTCTCTAAATTGTAAAATGGGTGGGTATTTATTTTTTGTTAATGAGGTCACATGGTTATCAGAGGAAAGATTCTAAGAATGTGATTTAACTGTATCATAGACCCGATGAGAACTCCAAAATTGTTTTTGGTTTCTTAAGCTTCAGATAAGAAACAACTGAAGGCAGCACAGATGCATAAAGATGTATATTATTGGCTTAGAGTTTTCCTGAACAAGCCAGTTTGTGATTTTCTTCAGTAGTGCAGTCAGATATTCAATCACCATCATCTTAAGGAAAAAATGGTTGGCGTCTTTGTGCTTCATTTTGGATGATGAATTAAATCACCTTGTCATGAACTCCTGGGTCTTCATCTGTTATTACCAGTGTTTACAGGAAATGAGCGTTTGAACCTCATGTCTTTTCTGGGTTAAGGGCCATTTTGTTTGAGAGAATTACTGAAAGAAAGAGAAGCAGGACATCCACATAGAGAACACTTAAATCCATCAATGTCCTCTCTAAGTCTCTTGAGTCATTGTGAGGGTTCCTAGATCTGCTCAAGATGCCTCATGAAAAGATCCTTTATGCTGGCCATGAGAAAAGGGATGAGACATGCAAGTGTAAAAACTCGAATGTTCCTAATCTGTGAATGCTATAGCCTCCTACTTCCAGGTAAGACAAAGGCTCTTCGACTTTTGCCAGCCATTCATCAGAATCACCTGGAAAACTCATGGGAAAACCCATTCCTGGATCCCATGTCTAGCTTATCCATGAGATACAAGGACTTATGAAAATGTTTCGATGTTTTCTAAAATCAGAGGAAAATTTTTTTAATTTAAAATTTAAAAAAATCAGAGAATAAAATTGAACTTTTAAGTCAAAGAAATGTTTGAATATAGGATAGTAACTTATCTTTTTACCAACTCAGTCATAAAATATAGTATAAGTTTTCTTTTTACAATGGAGGAAGAAGCCCATATTTTCCTCCCACTGAGAGAAAAACAAGCAAACAACAAAACAACAAAAAATCTCACTCACCACAATGTTGGTTTTCATGAGTCAACATAGTAATCTCCATGCTATGGTGTCATGAAGCCCAAATTCTGCTCACCTCTGCTCATGCATTGCCAACTTGAAATTTTTCAATGTTGCTATCTCTATCTCTGATTTTCCAGACGTGACGGCCACAAGCAGCGTGCTTGGATGTCTTCAGCACTCAGCATTAGCAGATCTAAGCGTCAGACAAAAGAAAACGTACTCACAGAAATCCAGAAATGCTGTTTCAGTATATTCCAGTCAAGAAATAATCAACTTTGTATGAATAAATCTTATTTAGTGTAATATCAGTAAGGCAACAGCATACATTACCAAGCCTCCAGGACGTTAATTAGCACGTAAAATGCTGATAAATCGTATGTGTTGATTTTGAAGCAAGCCAAGGTTGATTTGTGAAAGAAGCAGTTAAATTTCAAAACAATCTTGAAATCTGAAATCCTAAAGTTTTATTGAATTTTCATATACCGTATATAAAGGCATACCTTTCTCTAGTTAACTATTATTTTTAAACATTAACAGGCACATTCAGCACTTTGCAGCCTGAATTAACAGAGTAACACCACAGACACATCAGAATGAAACAATAAAAACGACTACGATTGTTGCTAAATTATCTGTGTGTTTAGTATTCATTTTAGAATGTGAAGTATTTTTCAAAAGAAAATACTTCAGCAATATGAGGACAATTTAATGCTGATATTAAAATTATACAGTTTTTAAAATGTCAGCATAATAAAGTTGGTAACATAAATAATTCCTGCATGCATTGCTAAAGATTATCATTATTAAATTAAAACCTTATTGCTGTAAATTAAAACCAGCTCAGAATCCACTGATTTAGAGACTCTATAAAATATCATGAGACACTTAAATCTCATCTGAAAGCTCCCATTATAATCACAAATTACAATGAATACTGAAACCTGGTTTTCTAATTTATCAACTCATAACTTGTTTCTTGCCTTCCTGTTAAATTATCCTGCTTGATTCCAATGGAAACTTAAATTAATAGCTTTTAAATCTATATTTAAGAGTTTTTTTTAAAAAAGCTGAATTATAACGTAGGATAAAGAAAATTATATTTTAAAGTGAATATTCATAACTCCAGAGAAAATTCTAAAAATACCTTATTAATATGTAATATTAACATATATTAAATTTTCAATATCATTTTAGAAAAAGTAAAGGCATTTTTGGGTTTTTTTGTTTGTTTGTCTGTTTGTTTTGACAGAGTCTCACTCTGTAGTCCAGGCTAGAGTGCAGTGTCTCGATCTCAGCTCACTACAACCTCCGCTTCCCGGGTCCCCGTTCAAGCAGTTCTCCTGCCTCAGTCTCCCAAGTAGCTGGGATTACAGGAACGCGCCACCATGCCCAGCTAATTTTTGTATTTTTGGTAGAGATGGGGTTTCACTATGTTGGCCAGGCTAGTCTTGAACTCCTGACCTTGTGATCCACCGCCCTCAGCCTCCCAAAGTGTTGGGATTACAGGCACAAGCCACTGTACCAGCCTAAAAATAGAGATTTATAATGTAGTTATGTCAAAATCTGAAATCCCAAAGTTTTATTTAATTTTCATATATAGTATATAAATTTTTTTAAATATAATAAAAATCTTTAAAACCAGATTCTTATGTAAAAATAATGTGACAACTGATTAAGTTTGAATCTCTTTAATTTGCTGCATAAATTCAGTAGAAACAGTATATCTGTGGAATAGCAACCCTTCCTCCTGTAAGAACACTGATACCAATTCTTTCATTTCATTACATAATCATTTCCCCCAAAGAAAATGTAACCTCTACAAGAGCAAGGTATGCCTGGTACATAGTGAGTTCTCAATAAATATATGCTCAGTGAAGGCATGAATGAATAAACCATAATTTATTGATAAATTACTAGTGAGGTTGAAAGATGAATCAAGTATGTTCATTGAATCTGATCATTATTTTGCAATGCGAAATATTGGACTTTCCTCTTGGAGATGGCATACTAGAATATAGTAAGTTGGATTTAAACGGTGATTAAATTTCCTAAGCTTGTCTGTATCATAATACATTTAGGTAAGTTGTCCAATATTTACAACTAAATTTACAATAAAAACAAAAATTGAGCTTTGAGCTTTGCTAGATTTCTATACCAACATCGCTAACCTAAAATGCTATTTACCCAAAGGATTGTAAATCATGCTGCTATAAAGACACATGCACACATATGTTTATTGTGGCACTACTCACAATAGCAAAGACTTGGAACCAACCCAGATGTCCAACAATGATAGACTGGATTAAGAAAATGTGGCACATATACACCATGGAATACTATGCAGCCATAAAAAATGATGAGTTCATGTCCTTTGTAGGCACATGGATGCACATGGAAACCATCATTCTCAGCAAACTATCACAAGGACAAAAAACCAAACACCACATATTCTCACTCATAGGTGGGAACTGAACAATGAGAACATTTGGACACAGGAAAGGGAACATCACACACCGGGGCCTGTTGTGGGGTGAGGGGAGGGGGGAGGGATAGCATTAGGAAATATACCTAATGTAAATGACGAGTTAATGGGTGCAGCACACCAATATGGCACATGTATACAGATGTAACAAACCTGCACATTGTGCACATGTACCCTAGAACTTAAAGTGTAATAAAATATATATATATATAGTCAGTGACCTTGGGGAAAAAAAAACTATTTAGAGAAGGTTTTCACAAATCAATGATTTACATTAAAAAAAATTTCTTTCTTTCTTTCATCTTTCTTTCTCTTTCTGTCTCTCTTCCCCCTCATTTCCTCCTCCCTACCTCTCTTCCTTTCTTTTCTTTTCTTTTTTGTTTTTAACTTGATGGCCTGTATATATATAAATGATCCTACTTGAATAAGAAGCTGTGTTTCCAAAGGGCTTTTATGACAAATAGTAACAAAATATTCCAAACTCTTTCTGGTCTATTTATGAAACCAATAGTCAATTTATGAAACCAGTCTGCTATGTGACAATTACATAAATTACTGCCACCATGCATACACCGGTCCCATTTGTCATAGGAGAGCAAACAGCTGGTGGAATTCTTTTCCATCTTTTGGAAACAATCTTTATAACACAATTTGATGTGAATACATGTACGCAGTTAATTAAAACTCCCTTAATTTTACTTTTCTGCATAACTGTAAAACACTGCAAAGTATTATTACATTACCCATTTCTTCCCTCATTAATAAAATATAAAAAGAATTAAACTAATATAATGCATACAGAAAATTATAAAGCTATAATTTTACTGTTACTTGATAGAGGTATTTATTGCTAAGTGGGAGAGAAAATATAAAAATCTCATGTTCATCTTTAGTATTTAAGTATAGCCTGTTTTAGCAACTAGAGAAGACCAAAACTTTTCCAAAAATAATTAATTAAAGATGTATTCAAAACCAAATATTAAGCCACGGGCATAGAAGTGACTTAGAAATAAATTAATTTCTCCCTCTGATATTTTAATCATCTGACTTCTATAATTTTAGGGACTCAAATTTTATAGCCACGCAGAAAGAGGACATGTTTAAACAAAACAGAACTCTTTGTAGAGTTTGTCATCTCTAAATGCTTAGATTTTAGTGTGAAATGAATGAAGTCATTCTACATTTTTTATTTAAATAAAATAGCTTAGAATTTAGCAACGAGTGCATGCTTATTATTCAAAAGCGACATAGAAAAGATAAAAAGATATAAACAATTAAAATGTTTTAAAAGAAATGTTTAACGGGCCAGGCATCGTGGCTTATGCCTATACTCCCAGCACTTTGGGAGGCCGAGGCAGGCAGATCACTGGAGGTTGGGAGTTCAAGACCAGCCTGGCCAACATGGTGAAACCCCATCTCTACTGAAAATACAAAAATTAGCTGATGTGGTGGCACACACCTATAATCCCAACTACTTGGGAGGCTGAAGCAGGAGAATCACTTGAACCCAGAAGGCAGAGGTTGCAGTGAGAGGAGATCGCATCACTGCACTCCAGCCTGGGTGACAGAGCGAGACTCCATCTCAAAAAAAAGAGAAATGTTTAATGGGATGCTTACTTATCCAAATGCAGAGAAGAAAATACAGAGTGATGAAATAAAACAAAAAGTAGTTTAACTCCATGACTTGGTCTGGGTTCGCCTATGATGTTGGTTTTTGAATTTTCTATTGGGCTGTTTTGAACTAGACTTAACACCTTCAAGAATGCCAGGGACATTGGAGTTTATCTCAACTCAGATGACAGGAATAATGTACTAATGGTACAACTGTTCGTATAAGAAAATAAGACACAATTCTGTGACTTGTTGATTTGGAAGAATCCGTAATCTTGAGAAAAGCACTGAGTAGTAGTTCAAAAATCAAGTACTTGTTAGGCAGGCAATGTGTTCCATTCTGGCGCCAATGCGTACAATGATCAATGTTGTTCAGTTTCTTTAATGCTAAGAACACCAATTTCCTCATAGGCAACATGAGCTAGTGATAAGGGCTATATGTGAAAGATTTAGCTCAGTGCTTGGCACAAATAGGTTAACAAAAGCAGCTCTAGTGATAGCTAAGAAAATTGCCCACATAACAGTGGGTAGTAAACTTGATTTGGGAGCATTTGGTAAGTTTGCCTTTAAAAGCAACTAAATAAAGCACAGAAAAATTGTGCAAGTACAAACTGAGGACATGAGAGGGGCATTTGTTTAATTCCTTTCACTTTTATGTGATGGTTAATATCATTATTTAAATGTGACACGAGAGTCATGGTTAAAAAAAGATCCATATATTTGCTTTTGAGAGGAAATAAGATAAAAAGATGGATTTATATATCTTTCTTGAGAATGCTGTATCTCAGTTTTTCTTTTCATATTCAAACTGAAGCTGCGAACGTTTGCGACTGAGATGGGGACTCTGTAAAGAAAAATAACTTCAATTTCATGAAACTTATTGTAGCTGATCATCTCTATGGAGTGCGGGATTTAAATCCCTTTGGTAGTTTTAATTACTCAAGTTCCCAGGAGACCAAGCCCTCTCTGGAGTAGTGACAGAAGAATCTGAGCTGATTCTGTGCTGGTTCACAGGAGTCAATTAAAGAAACCAATTACAGTTCCAAATGGTGTGAACACAGATTGACCTAATTTGATCTCTGTTAAACAGGTACGCACACAACCCCATTTCCAGAACAAACTTAAACTTAGGAAAGAAACATGAAATGAATCCTCTCAACTAAGTTCAACCAACAAAAAAAAAAAAAAAAAAAAAAAAGGAAAAAAACCCCAGTAGGCATTATTTAAAATTGTACTGATGATATACAAAATGTGTACTCAATCCATAAATCACAATTTCTACTCTTTGTTCCTACTTTTATTTTCCATGGGTAGATCCTTTTATTATTATTATTGTTAATCTAATTATTGTGTCTTCAAATTAATTAATGGCATTGCCTTAATTAATCTGCAATCCCATATGTTAAGTAGAGTGCCTCTTTATGAACAAGGAAAGGGAAACAGGCTGGGTGCGATGGCTCACACCTGTAATCCCAGCATTTGGGGAAGACAAGGTGGGCAGATTGCTTGAGCTCAGGAGTTCCGCACAGCCTGAGCAACATGGCAAAACCATGTCTCTACAAAATATACAAAAAAAATGACCACCAGATGTGATGGTGCACCTGTAGTCCCAGCTACTCGGGAGACTGAGGTGGGAGAATCCCTTGAGCCTGGGAGATCAAGGCTGCAGTGAGCAGAGATCGCACCACTGCACTCCAGCCTAGGTGACAGAGCCAGACCCTGTGTCAAAAAGCAAAGCAAAACAAACAAACAAACAACAAAACAAAACAAAACAAAAATACATTTAAAAAACATCTCTGAATAAGGGGCCAGAACTACACATGTATCAACAGCAACTATTTTAAACGGCAAACATTAAAGGAAATTTTAATAAAAGGAACAAAGAAGAGAATACTTACTTTCAACATTATTTAACATGACCTTTCAGATTTTAGCAAACAGAAAAAGAACAAGTTAACAGCATGAACCGTATAAATGAAAAGATATAGTTATTTCTGTTGATATAATCATATACAAGACAAACTGAGTAACAAGAAAAAGTAGAAACTAGCATTAATATTAGCATTTGGAAAACTAGCTGGCCACAATTAATTACCTTTAAAACATAATATATTTTTCTAGTCCAGTAATTAAGGGGAAAACAGAAACACAGTAATGATTTACAGTAAGAAAATAATATAGTCATCAAGAGCCATGAATAGTATCTAAGTATATGAAAAGTTAGCTTTTGATGAAAAACTATAACTAAAATTGTTCATGTGTATGAATGCGTGTATGTGTCATTCCATCCAATTCCAATGTAATGATTTTATTTCTAACTTGGGCAAAATAATCTTAAAATGCACTGAGAAAACAAATCACACAAATAGCCAAAATGCGGAAAAATATAATGGCTACAGAGTGTGCAGGGTAAAAGAACTTGTCTTGACAGGTACAAAAATGTACATCATGGCCGGGCGTTGCACCTCAGGCCTGTAATCCCAGCACTTGGAGAGGCTGAGGCAGGTGGATCACTTGCGGTCAGGAGTTCGAGAACAGCCTGGCCAATGTGGTGAAACCCGGTATCTCCTAAAAATACGAAAATTAGCCAGGCGTGGTAGTGAGCACCTGTAATCCCAGCTACTCAGGAGGCTGAGGCAGGAGAATCATTGAACCCAGGAGGCGAAGGTTGCAGTGAGCTGAGATTGCACCACTGCACTTCAGCCTGGGAGACAGAGTAAGACTCCATCTCAAAAAAAAAAAGTACATCCTGATCACCATCACAAGCTCCATATATATCCATACAGGGTTGCAGAGAAAATTTGAGTGAACAAACTAGAAGATTAGAATTAGACGTCAGGGTGAATCTTTTCATCCTTTTGCTCTCAATATAAACAGCATTGTTTCTGTCTCTCCTTTCACATTTTCTCCTTTGTAGAGCCTCAGCAGCACACCCTGCACACAGCTAGCTCCCCTTAGCCAACGCAGTGCATAGTGCTTATTAGGAACAGCGCACCTCACTCGGGACAGACACAACCATGCACCAGGGCAGAGCTTGTAGAGTTGACCTTGATTTCAATCTTCCTTTGTCCCTGTCTGATGTGTTTTGCAGCAGCTGTAAACCCACACAACTGTATCTGTGGGCTTTTCCTTCAAAGCACCAATCCTCTGTGTGACCAAAAATTGAACACAACTCCGCCCATAAACACCAGTTATACTTATCCTTCAAAGCATTAATTATAACTGTAATTCTACTTTAATGTCTTTTTAAAAAATGTATTTCCATAGGTTTTTGGGGGAAAGGTGGTATTTGGTTACATGAGGAGTGTACACTAAACCTAAGATGTAGTGGTGCGCACAAATCACCACTACCCTGAGTCCACAAAGTCTATTGTATCATTCTTATGCCTTTGCATCCTCATAACTTAGCTCCCACTTATGAATAAGAACATATTTTAATGTCTTAAAATAATTTTCCTTACTAGAATATAAGCTCCATGAGGAACAGGAATGCAACTATCTTGTTCATTTTGGATTCCCAGTGGCTGAAACTATGATGGTGCGACATTGATTTTTTAAGTACGTAAGATAAAAAGATGAATTAATCACAAAGTTATGTCTCTAATGGTAGAAATTTCAGACACATCTGTGGATCTTTGTTCTCTGTGGCCTTCCAATCGAAACCGTCTGCCTAGTTTATGAATTTCTCCAGGTCTGAGCTGACTCACAATGCAGAAGTCAGATGGTGTCCTAACTCCCTTGCATGTCAGGTGTACACCAGATGACCCAATTTCTAGTGATACTGGACAGCCTACAGGGAGATTTGGTTCCAGAAGTGAATGACTTGCTGGCCGGGTCACTGGGCTCCTGGCTTCTCCTGGGAAGATGTTAGGCTGAATAGCAGCAACAGAAATGGCATTTCTGCTTTCCAACGGCAAGAGTCAAAGGTGGCAAGCAACCTGCTATTTGTACTATAAAAGCTCCCAAAATGTGGATGAATTTCTTTTTCAGGCTGCATAAGCTTTAAAACCTAACTTTCTGATACCCCAGGATATTCTCTGAATTTTGCACTCTTGGATAAGAAAATCTTTTGCTGCCTAAGGTAGTAAGTGTGAATTCTATTTATTGCACCAAAAAAAAAAAAAAAAAAAGACTGCATGTGTTTGTTAGAACTGCCATGTCAGCATATCACCATTTGATTGGCTTACTCAACAGAAATTTATTGCCGTACAGTTCTGGAGGCCAGAAGTGTGAGATCAGGAGGGTGCTCTCGCTGAAGGTGTGAGGTCAAGATCTGTTCCAGCCTTTTTTCTTAGTTTCTGGTAGTTTCTTAGTGGAATAAATCCACTCTCTGCTTCTGTCTTACTTGACCTTCTCCCTGTGAGTCTTTATGTCCAAATGTTTCCTTTTCATAAAGAGACACTGGTCATGTTGGATTAAGGATCCATGTTATTCTGATATGACCTAATCTTAACTTAACTACATCTGCAATAACCTTACTACAAAATATGGTTATATTCTAAGGTATTGGGAGGTAGGGTGTGGGAAGGGCTTTGTCATATACATTTTTGAGGGTACATAAGTCAAATCATAATAAAGGCTGATGGACACAGATGCCATGCAGGCTTGTGTGAAAAATCATGGAGATGATAGTTGCTAGTGGCATATCCAGGGACCCCCTCCACTTAGATGATAACGTTTCCCTTCTTTACACAAGATTGTTAAATATGGTTTTCTATTCTGTTATGTTCTAACTGTCCACTCCCACCATGAGCAATTTGGTCTGTCCTAGGTGGTTGTTACAGGCATACTTGATGTCATGATATCTTTCAAGGGCATTCTGCTAGCACAAAAGTGTTGCTGTCAGGGAGTCACTGTGAAGCTGTCCAGATTCATGGCAAATATGATGAACGACAATGTCACATGTGTGCTGGAGCCCTTACAAGTGCTTGTAAATCATTGAGTCCTTATTATAATGTGGATTTTCAAGAGCATTTTCCAGAGATGACTTTTCGAGGTTGAATGTTCCAACCTGTGTCTATTGTTGTTGTTTTTTTTTTTTTTTTTGGAGTTTATAGACTGGTACCATGCAAACTAGGGTATTCATGGAGTGGCTAAATATATGAGTTTCATGGTGCCCTAGATTCTGATTGTGTGTATTCCTGCAGGTGAATCTCCAGTTTTCTAGGTCTAAGCACTCATTGTACATTCCAAAAATAATGCTGTATTAAATGAGCTACCTAGCTGCCCTGCTGATAAATAAGCAAAGCAGCAAAATATGCTCCATTTCAATTATATTACCTATGGCTCCAATGGTCATGATCAACGCCTACGTTTCCCAAACTGCCATGTGTATTTCAAACACTAACCCAAATTAACTTTGTGCCACATTTGTGGATGGCACTGAGCCTTGTCTGAGCCAACACCAGTGTTCCCAGAGTAACTAATCTGCTTCATTAATTTCTGTACAGTGAGAGGGCATAAAAGAGGCACACAAGATTTGTTAAAAGTCTCTATACAAAGCTGAACAAGAGACAGAGAATGGGGAAAATGAAGTGATTATGTGGAGATTCTTTGAATTTCTATTGCCAGGAGCTAAAGGTGGCTGCGAATGCATTAAGGAGGGAGGCTATAAATGAGTCCTTCAGGATTTCTCAAGCATGGACCAATAAAAAGTTTATAGCAGCCCTACAACATCGTTCTGTCTTCTTCTTTATTTACTTCATCCAATTTGCCATTTTTATTAAGTTGGCCTCTTTTAGCTCCCTTTAAGGGTCTTAATTACACGTATACAGAAATGTCACAGGCAGGGGTTTAAGAAGAGAATGCTATTAAAATGGGATCGCATCATGATTTGGCATTTGCATGCTGGCCACAGGAGTGGAAGTGTTGGAAAGAGCTCTCAGGACCTGTGGACATTTATACACACTGTTTTTACCGTGTGTGGTGTTAATCTCTGAGCTAACAGCTGGCTGAGGTGATGGTGATATGGAGCATGCTTGCAAATATCAGAAGTCTAGGCATTTTTTGAAATGGAATGGTCTAACTTGAATTTTCAAGTGTAGCTGCTTTATCTTCATGAAAACCATGTGCAGTCTCTGAATCATTTTCCTAATTATATAATAGGGGTTTGCCCCTCATCACGAATATTCTGGTCATGTTATTAATATTGTGGCCACAAATATTTTGAATCCTAAAACTATGGTCAACTTATGGATTTTTGTTTAATATGTTTTGGTGATTCCTTTAGAGCAGGGGATCCCCAACCCCCTGGCCATGGACTGGTACCAGTCTGTGGCCTGTTGAGAAGTAGACCACGGCCAGGTGCAGTGACTCACACCTGTAATCTCAGCATTTTGGGAGGCCAAGGCAGGCAAATCACTTGAGGTCAGGAGTTCAAGACCAGCCTGGCCAACATTGCAAGACCCCATCTCTACTAAAAATACAAAAATTAGCCAGGTGTGCTGGCAGGTGCTTGTAATCTCAGCAACTTGGGAGCCTGAGGTAGGAGAATTCCTTGAACCCAGGAGGTAGAGGTTGCAGTGAGCCAAGATCACGCCACTGCACTCCAACCTGGGCAACAGAGTGAGACTCTGTGTCAAAACAAACAAAACAAAACAAAACAAAACAAAAAAAACCAGGCAGCACAGCAGGAGGTGAAAGGCGGACCAGCAAACAAGGCTTCATCTGTATTTCCAGCCACTCCCATTGCTCTCATTACCAACTAACTTCCGCCTCCTGCAAGATCAGCAGAGGCATTTGATTCTCATAGGAGTGCAAACCCTATTGTGCAGTGTGCTCCTTATAAGAATCTAATGCCTAATGATCTGTCACCATCTCCCATCACCCCGAGATGGGACTGTTTAGTTGGCAGAAAACAAACGCAAGGCTCCCATGGATTCTACATTCTGGAGAGTTGTGTAATTATTTCATTGTGTCACAATAGAATAATAATAAAAATAAAGTACAGAATAAATGTAATGCCCTTGAATCATCCCAAAAACATCTCTCCCAACTCCCAGTCCATGGAAGAATAGCCTTCCAAGAAACTGGACCCTGGTGCCAAAAAGGTTGGGGACCACTTTTTTAGAGGATTGACTTTTCTCAACCAACTTATACACATGATATCTAGAAATGCTTTCATAGACTTCTTAGGAGGATTTTATGAGCCCTATATGCATTTTCCTCTCACTGCTACAACATGCAGCTGGTTACATCCCAACACTAATGATTTGTGTTTAGGATTTTGACAATATCTGAAAAGACAGAATCATTAATGCCATCGTATTTCTAAAGACAGTACACTACACAAAATGTTTATAAAATGAACATAAATATATTATCCACCATCAAGTCAAAATATCCTAAAAGAAGAACCATAATATGTGTTTAACATTAGAAATAAGCACCATATCAAAAATCTGCTGATCTAAGTTTAGTCATGACTTTCTAGCTTATGTAGTTGTTTTTAAAATTAGATAGATAAGAGATACACACACATAGATGATAAATAGATATAGATGGATATATAGAGAGATAGATAGAGATAAATGCATAGATGAATGAATGAATAGATAAATACATTCATAGATAAATAGAGATGGATAGGTGGATAGATAGATAGATATGGATGGAGAAATAGAAAGATAGAGATGGATGGATAGATAAAATGAATAAGTACATGCAAGATAAATGGAGATGGTGGATAGATATAGATAGATAGATAGATAGATAGATAGATAGATAGATAGACAGATATGGATGAAAAGATAGAAAAATAAGAGATGGATGGTTGATAGAAGACAGATAGATTGATGATAGTTGGATAGATAGATAGATGATTAGATAGGTAGGTGATAAACACAATAACTGAGTAACTAATGTGGTGAATAGACTCCAGTGTGGCCTCCATGACCCTACCTCCTGGTATTCACACTCTTGTGTAATCCCCTTACAGTGTGAGTGGGACTTTTTTCTTGCTCTAACCCATACACTGCCAAATATAATTTGATTAAAATTACCTTCTATGGCAATTCTTTGATTAGATTATCTTTTATGGCAATTATGATGGTGCTGTCCATGAAATATTTGTGTCCCCTCAAAATTCATATGTTGAGACCTTAACCCCCAAGGTAATGATATTTTGAGTTGGGGCCTTCAGGAGGTGATTAAGCTCCCATGATGGGATTTGTTTCCTTAGAAGAAGAAGAAGTGACACCAGAGGTTATTCTCCCTGTCTTTGTCTTCCATGGGAGGATGCAGGAAGAAGGTGGACATAAGAGGAAGAGGGAGGCCTCATCAGGAACTGAATCCTTGATCTTGATCTTGGACTTCCAGCCTCTAGAACTATGAGAAATATGTTTGTTGTTTAAGCCTCTCAGTCTATGCTGTTTGTTACAACAGCCCAAGTTGCTTAAGACAGATGAAATAAGACTTCATTGTATTAGTTGACTGACTCTAGAATTTGCCTTTTTTTCTCTTGCTAACTTTGAAGAAGAAAGACACCATGTTGTGGATAGACATATGGGGAGCTTATGTGGCCTCTGTTCGCTCACAGTGGCCTTCAGCCCACAGCCAGCTCACAGCCAGCTAGAAGCCACTGCAGGATTTCTTCAGTCCTACAGCTATGAGGAAATAAATTGTGTCATCAACCTCAGTGTGCTTGCAAATGATTCTATCCACAGTCAAGCTTTCAGATGAGAATGCACCCCTGGCTAATACTTTATCTGCAACCTTGCAGAAGACCTAGTGACCATGCACCCAGCCTTTGACCCGCAAAAACAGTGAACTGATAAATGGAGGTTATTTTAAGATGCTGAATATGTGATGATTTATTATGTAAATTAGACCCATGTTTTGAGTGCAATGTGTTCTCAGTGAACACATTATGTTACCAGAGGATAAAAAGTCACATGTTCATAGTTGACCCTGTATTTTCTGTATTTATGAATTTTATGAATTTAACCTCATCTTATTTTTTTAAAAATATTCCTAAATCATTCTATTATAAAGATACGTGCATGTGTATGTTGACTGCAATATTCACAATAGCAAAGACATGGAATCAACCCAAATCTCAATCAATGATAGACTGGATTAAAAAAATGTGGTACATATACACCATGGAATACTATGCCATAAAAAGGAAAGAGATTATGTCCTTGGCAGGAACATGGTTGGAGCTGGAAGCCATTATCCTCAGCAAACTAATGCAGGAACAGAAAACCAAACACTGCATGTTCTCACTTAAAGTGGGAGCTGAACAATGGGACCATATGGACACATGAAGGGGAACAACACACACTGGGACCTGTCAGTCAGGGAGAGAGGAAAGAGACTATCAGGAAGAACAGTTAGTGGGTGCTGGGCTTAATATCTAGGTGATGGGATGATCTGTGCAGCAAACCACCATGGCACACGTTTACCTATATAACAAATCTGCACATCCCACACATGTACCCCAGAACTTAAAAAAAAGTTGATATTAAAAAAAGACATGATTTGTGAGGCCGAGACGGGCAGATCACAAGGTCAGGAGATCGAGACTATCCTGGCTAACACAGTGAAACCCTGTCTCTGCTAAAAATACAAAAAATTAGCCAGGCGTGGTGGCCTGTAGTCCCAGCTACTCGGGAGGCTGAGGCAGGAGAATGGGGTGAACCCAGGAAGTGGAGCTTGCAGTGAGCCAAGATCATGCCACTGCACTCCAGCCTGGGCGACAGAGTGAGACTCCGTCTCAAAAAAAAAAAAAAAAAAAAAAAAAAAAAGACATATTTTAACTTAAAAATTTTTTATTCCTTTAAAAATTTTCTTCTCTTTTCCTTTTTTTGCTAACATGGCAATAAAATATGTGTTTGAAGATGATGTCAACACTTTTTTCAGAATCAAACTGATGTTGTTTCTTTATTTCTTGCCAACACCACATTACTCAAATTTCTATATATTTTGCTGTTTGAAAGTTCCATTTTCGTGTATTCATTCTTTAATTTCATATTGTCCTCGGGTGCTATTACCTCATAATGTTTCCTCAAAATTTTAGGATATCTTGTCAATTTCTACAAAATAATAAACATTTTCTTTGGGATTGCATTGCTTTTGATATAAGATGATGTGTCATTTTTACACTATTGAGTTTTCCTATCTACATATATTCATACTTCTCCATTTATTTCTATTTTCTGCTACTTTTCAACAATATTGGGAGCTTTCTCTTTAAAAGTCTTGTACATTCTTGTTATAATCTTAGCTGATTAAGAAAATATTTTAAACATTAAATGTGCAGACACTAAGAGCTAATTTTGCTTCTAATCATTTTTTAAAAGATATAACTCCCCCCAAAATTCCCACTCCTCGCTTCCACCACATATTACTACTTTCCTAATTATTCTCTTTTTTTTAATATTTTTTAAAAATTTAAAATTATTTATGTATCCTAAAGAAAACATATCTGATTGATTTCAATTCTGGCATATGAAACATATTATCTTCTCCATTTATGCACATATGTTTCTGCTGATTGCTTCTTTAGCTCAAATATATGCCTCTGAGATTTGGTCTTGGTAAATATAAACCTATTTGCTCCAATAACTCTGTATAATATTCCACTATATGAATAAATAAGAGATATTTTTCTCCATTCCTCCACTGATGTACATTTAAGGTTTTTCCAGTTTTTCCCTATTTAAAAGCTGATTGAAATGAGCAACTTTGCTCTGCATGAGAAAGGGTTGAGTTGAAAATGGAATTGCTAGTTGAACAACACAGTGAGACAATTCAAAGCATGTGTGTGTTGCTGCCTTGTAAGGAAGAGGACAATATATAGCTTCCTGGAAATATATCTTCCTACATCTTCCACGAAAGAAATGTAGCTTTCCACATGGACACATATGATCACACGAGAACAAATGACTGCATCTTCCTACTATGGATTCAGTGCCAACTCCACACTGTTTTCCAGTTTTTATAATAAATATATTTGGAAAAGGGCTCATAAATGTTAATTTAAAGGATTTTTCCACTGGAGATCTTATTAATATTCACTAAAAGTCAAATATTCTATTTGGCCAAACTTCTCTACAAATTCCTTAAGGCTAGGCATATTCACTTCATTTTTTTTTTCTTTAGAGACAGGGTCTTGCTGTGTTGTGCAGCCCTGAGTCAACTGGTGAGATTATAGCCCACTGCAGCCTCGACTTCTTGGCTTCAAGTGATCCCCCTGCTTCAGCCTCCAGAGTAGCTGGGATCCAAGGTGCGCACTACCATGCTCAGCTATTTTTTATTTTTTGTAGAGTTAGGGGTCTTGCTATGTTGCCCGACTATTCTTCAACTCCTGGGCTCAAGTGATCCTTCTGCTTCGGCCTCCCCAAAGTGCTGGGGTTACAGGCATGAGCCACTGCACATGTCCTCACTTTCATTTTATGGCAATGATTAGTAAAGTGCATTTCACATGAAATGTGCCATCCAAATTGGGTATTAATATGAATAGTTTATTTTTTCTATGGAAATCATATTTGGCAAAAAAAGATGTTTTCCATTTTACAAATTATTACATTTTTCTTCATTGTGCCTTTCTGTAAATAGCTAAAAAGGGAATCAACTACAACTTTTGCTATAGCTATCATGTTTAGCACAATCAGTGGTTTTCTTTACCAGTTTATATGAGTTATAAAATTTATCTACATGGGTCTCTGTTTTATAATTTCCCTCTTAGTAAAAGAGAAAAATCAGATATTTCTCTGATGACAATGGAAATTCTAAAGATGATGTTTTTAGTGTGTCTTCTATTCTTTCTCAAGCATCATGCTGGACATTCAACAAAATGAATCATTTTGATATTTCAGAAAAAAAGATTCGACGTAACCTACTAAGAAGCTGCCAAATGGATCAAGCACAGTTATTTTCAGGACTAGCCTTCTGCAAAGAAAATTTTGGTAATAAATGAATAGCACAACTGCATTTCAAATCATTAATCTCAATGTCAGCTTTCAAGAAATGCAAGATATATGAACAGTAGCTATGTTGTCATGGGATTTATGCTGTCCACACCACACTGGAGTTTGCAGCCTCTCATCTTCTGTTAACACTACCCACCCCACCATCGTTCACTGTCAGAATATCCCTGTAGCAGCCACCACAGCCCCAGATGCTTGCCCAAGAAACAATCTTTTTAAGAGGGAGAAAAAGTGGGTGGTGAGTAACTTTTAATTTCTGCATAAAGATGAAAAGATATATTTTACATCAAAAAGCAAAAAAATTGTCATGACTTTAAGCCAACAATCCTTATATGTGGTTGTGTGTTTATTTATTAGGGCTGCTGTTCTCTGAATATTGGAACAAGCTATGTTGCCTTGGATGGATAGCAGAAACTTCAGTAAGAATTCATCTGCATCATGGAACGAAAACATTCTGCTGCCAATAGTCAAGGAGAAATTAGACAGGCATAGTAAACACAGAATTGGCTCAGCTCTTTCCTTTCTTCTAATCTGATTTTGTATTTTTCTCCTGGAACATCAAGCCATAAACTCTTCTCTAATTCTCTTGGGTCAGTTGCTTCAGGGAATGTGGCTTAACGATGCTTTAAGATTAGAAAGAACTTTGAACTTGGATTATATTTAAAAGTATAAGTGGGAGCTAGAAGAGGAGAACTCATGGACACAAAGAGTGGAACAACAGACACTGGGGTCTACTTGACAGTGGAGGGTAGGGGGAAGGAGAGAAGCAGAAAAAATAACTAGTGAGTTCTAGGCTTAGTGCCTGAGTGACAAAATAATCTGTACAACAAACCCCGTGACACATAACAAACCTGCACATGCACCCCTGAACCTAAAAGTTTAAAAAACTGCAATTTTATTAATCACAAATTATTTATCTTCAATTTTATGAATAGTAACATGCCTTCAACAGCTTGCTTTCTTTTAATGACACAGCCTTTGAAAGTTATATTTCTATCAGGATGCTGTCCTATTACTCTACATTGAGCAAGTCTTCTTGATTAGACTTCAATGAAAAGCTCCTTTGTTTTCCCTGAACAGCTCATAAAATATTTCAGGAAAACATACATTGAAGTTGAAGATGTAGTCATTCAGACAAACAGAATTAGTATTTGTGAATATGTATGCACAATTATATAAAAAATATAAAAATAAATAATACTACATATATGTGTGTGCATCTATACTCTTAAATATAGGGTCAATTCTGCGACAAGAATAAAAAATGAAAACACAAGTAAGTTTTACTTTATTTTTCCTTATTCAAGGTGGCCCTAGATTTATTTTCTCCACAACTGAAATGAAATATTTGTTGATATAGATGTTTCTAAATAGAGGCAAATCCCTAGTTACAAATAGACAATGTTAAAGAATTTTTTTAAAAAAAAGGCTAACTAGATTGTGGGTGTAACCTTCATAAATTCACGGTTTAAAATTAGTAACCTTCCAACACTACAAATTACACAAATGCTATCACATAAAAGATGATGTTTTGTGTGAAAGGTTGAGGATCTGCTGTGGTTTAAATGTTTATGTCTTCCCAGATATTCATACGTTAAAGTCTTAACCTCCAAGATGACGATATTAAAACGAGGGGTCTTTGGGAGCTGATGACGTCAGGAGGGTGGAGACTTGCGAATAGGATGAGTGCCCTTATAAAAGCGGCCCCTGAGAGTTCCCTTGTCCTTCCACCGTGTGAGGATACAGTGAGAAGCCTCCATCTCTGTGAATCAGGAAGTGAGTCCAGCAGACACTGAATCAGCCATGCCTTGATCTTGGACTTCCAGCCTCCAGAACTGTGAGCAATAAACATCTGTTGTTTATAAGTCATGCAGTCTCTATGGTATTGTGCTATAGTAGCCTGAATAGGCTGAGACAGGATCTTTCATGGAAGGTATGTATAGGGAGGTCATTTCTAATTCAAGGGAAAGAAGAACCATTAAACTGAGGAGGTCAGGCATGCTCCAATCAGCTTGAGATGACACATTCCCGTCCTCAGCCACAGGTTACTCAGGTGCAATTGATCACTTCCTGTGTTGAAGGGTCCTGGGGCATTCAATGATTAGAAATATTCAAGCTCTCCTGGGTTCCTCCAGTGCAGATAGTCAGTGGTGAGGGAAGGATCTGCCTAGCGTGACAAGCCTTCCTCATGCTCAATGCCAGCCTATGACTTGCAGCCTTGCTCTTGGCTTTATTCCTTACATTGAAAATGTCCTTGCCTTCTGTGGCAAGACAAACTTCCAAATATTTTAGCAAATCAGAAAAAGGAAAAAATGAAATGAATAACTGATGATTTAACATTAGCAAATGGATCCATGTGTAATATGGTTTAGCTGTGTCCCTACCCAAATATCCTCTTGAACTGTGGCTCCCATAATTACCATATTTCATGGGAGACACCCGGTGAGATCTAACTGAATCATGAGGGAGGGTCTTTCCCATGCTGTTCTCGTGATAGTGAATAAGTCTCATGAGATGTGATGATTTCATAAAGGGGAGCTCCCCTGCACACGCTCTCTTGCCTGCCACCATGTAAGACATGACTTTGCTCTTCATTTGCCCTCTGCTATAATTGTGAGGCCTCCCCAGCCATGTGCAACTGTGAGTCCATTAAACCTCTTTCCTTTATAAATTACCCAGTCTCGGGTATGTCTTTATTAGCAGCATGAGAATGAACTAATACAATGTGCCACTTCAAATTTGTATCTGGATCATGAATTTTCACCAGATTCCTCCTCTGTCCCCCCAAAATTTTGCATCTAACCTAATTTTTCATTTCCATACATTTTAGCTTGCATGAATGCTTTTGTAAATTCCATGTCAATGAATTCTTCTGTTTTAAAAATTTATATGAATAAAGTTAGGTGAATATGTTTTTCCGCACAAAGACTTCCTGTTCAAATATTCCTTTTTTAAAAAAATTGGTCCATGTTGATGTGTATAGTGGGTTCTTTCTTTTTCACAGTTGTATGATATCCCATTAAAATAATAATCATGATTTTTTTTGTCTTTTTTGTGTCCTCATGATTTAGTTTTCCTTTTTGTAAAGTGAAAAGCTGGATTTTAAAAATGTTTAGTTCTGCTCAACAGTCTTTATCTTTAACTAGAAAGCATTCACACTGCTTTCATTTACATTGAGTATTATTCTTAAAAAGTTGGAATTTTTTGTCCTCTTATGCTGTGAATTTCTAAATATCTTAATTTTTCTGTTTCTGTTTTTTTTTTAATTTGAATTGTTTGAAGTTTACTTGTTTTATTATTTCACTGAATTTCCTTGCCCTGACATTCTCATGCTGGAAGTTGTATTATACACCACCCACCACATACACTTCCCTTATAATGCATCAATTTCTATTATACCCATTCACATGTGTAGGTCAATATTACCTAGAAATTTTACTGTATAATATTTTAATTAAATAAATAATCATAATATATCAGGTTAATGATTTTATAATTACATTTTACTCTATCCACAGATGTACCACTGTCAATTACAACTAATGACAAGATGTGATTTTTGTAAAATGTTTTCTATTCTCACTATATTTATTGTGCTTAAGACTTTGCTAGACAAACCATGGATATTTTGTTTTATTTTATTTTATTTTGTTTGAGACAGGGTCTTACTCTGTCACCCAGGTTGGAGTGCAAGCATGATCATGGCTCACTGCAGCCTCGACCTCCCAGGCTCAAGTGATCCTCCCACCTCAGCTTCCCAAGTATCTAGGACTACAGGTGTACACCATCATGCCTTGATAATTTTTTTAAATTTTTTATTTTAGTAGAGATGACGTCTTGCTATGTTGCCCAGGCTGGTCTCAAACTCCTAGGCTCAAGTAATCTCCCGCTTCATTCCCCAAAATGCTGGGATTACAAGCATGAGCAACTGTGTCCAGCCTGTTTTATTTTTTATAATGACTATTTCAAATGTTTTAATAATGAGTGGTAGTATATTAAAAAATCTTAGTATGTATAAAGAAGATATATCAGTTATTAGAAAGTTTGAACTTATGATATTTAAAAATGTGGTGACATATATCACAAAATCTTGCCATTTCAAGAACGTTATATAAATGGAGTGATATTGTATGTGACATTTTGAGAGTGGTGTTACTTATTCAGCCAAATGCCCTCAGGGTCCATCCAGTTGTTGTGTGAACTAGTCATTCATTTATTTTTATTTTTGAATAATATTCCACTGCATGGATGTATTCCAGTTTGTTTAACCACTCATTCAGTGTCATTTTGGTTGTTTCCAATTTTATGCTAGTATCAAAAGCAATTTTTAAAAGATACATTATTGATATGTAAGTGCTTAATTGATTTTATTTTGTTTTCTTTTCAGTTTGTTCCTCTGTTCTTCATTTCCCTGTTTTTTTTTCCTAATTGCCTTCCTCTGGGTTACTTACAGTTATTTTCTAATTAAACATTAGTTTATTTACAGTGCTTATATGCATATGGCTCATCACCACCTGCTAGTCTCAGCATCTTACTTGTTTGAGAGAAGGGTAGAAATTTTCCTTTCCTTTATCTCTCTTTACCTTTCCCTATCTATAATACAATTATCTTAATTATATATTCAACATGCATTCACAACCACATAATACAATGCTATACTTTTTTTGCTTCAACTATTAAACATAATTTAGAAAAATCAAGGAAAGAAGAAGAGGCCATTGTATTAACTGAAATGTTTTCTCTTTCTGTTATTTTGTCTTCCTTCCTGGTATTCCAATTTTCTTTCTTTATTGTTTACTTTATGTTTTAAAACTTTAAGTAGTTCTTCAAGGGTAGGCTTGTTGGAGACAACATCTCTTAGTTTTCCTTCACCTATGTCTAGGGTTCTACATTAATTCATAAACAAATGTGTTAGCTAGATATATAATCATGTGTTGACAGTGATTTGTATTCAACACATAAAAATCCTGTGTTGGTGTTTGTTGGACTTCATGGTTTTTAATGAAAAATACACTGTTAGACAATGCGTTTTGTCCTACATAGATGATGCATCATTTCTCTCCAACGCTTTCAAGATTTATTTCTTTGCCTTTAAGTTTCTGTAATTAAACCAGGTTGCATCCTGGTGTGAATGTCTTTAAGTTTATTCTGTTTGAGTTCACAGTTTCTTCAATTTGTACATTTATTACTTTTGCTAAATTAGGAAACATTTTCAGTTATGTATTTTTTTCAGCACAAATTATTTCCCCTTTCCTTCTGGGATTCCAATCATATAAAGTTAGGTCCCTGAAAATCTATACATAATTTTCTATTTTTTCTGCTATTTAAATTGGGTTAAAACAATTTCTATTCTATCTTCAAACTCACTTATCTTTCCTTTGTTTTCTCCATTCTTCTGTTAAGCCTGTCTGGTAATCTT
The DNA here is from genome assembly GCF_000001405.40 of Homo sapiens. Taxonomy (NCBI): domain Eukaryota; kingdom Metazoa; phylum Chordata; class Mammalia; order Primates; family Hominidae; genus Homo; species Homo sapiens. The sequence continues at coordinate 25,857 of NW_017363820.1, forward strand.
TTATTCAGTTACTATATTTGTTAGTCCTAAAATTTTCGTTTTGTTATTCTCTATGTCTTCTATTTCTTCTCTGAAACTTTCTACGTTTTCATCTGTCTCAAGAGTTTTTAATTGCTCATTGAAGGAATGTTATGTTTTAGTATGGACAGTGATTCTCAGTTATATCCTGGACATTTAGGATTATGTTTGAGGTTTTGCACATTGTTTAATTATTTTGTTGTAGGAGACCTCTTCTGAGATCATGCCTATGGGAGAAGTGGAGTATCACCTCACTACAGGAAGGAGGGGTGGAAGTCCATATTTTCCCTGTAATCTCTGTGATCCATGTTGATAAGGCCACTGTGGGATTGTGAGAAGGGTAAAGAGATGTCTCATAATGACTGCAATGACACCACAATGGGAAACAGGCAAACTTCTCACCCTGACTCTCCACTGGGTTTCTTCTGACACCACCCCAGTGGGGACAGAGAGAGAGTTTGAATTAGGGTTCTCTGAGAAAGACTTTATAGAAGATAGACAGATACATAGATAGATTCAAAGAGATTTATTAAGAGAAAGTGGTTCACAAAATGGAAAATTAGAGGTCCTAAAATCTGTAGGCAGCAAGTTGGAAATTCAGAAGAGTTGGTAGTCTGTGTTCTAGTCCGAGACTAAAGGCCTGAGATCCAGGACAGCTCATGGGGTGAGTTTCAATCTGAGTCTGAAGGCCTGAGACCCGGGAGAGCCAATGGTGTGAGTTCAAGTCTGAGTCTGAAGGCCTGAGACCCAGGAGAGCTGAGGGTATGAGTTCTAGTCTGAGTCTGAAGGACTGAGTTAAGACCCAGGAGAGTTGATGGTGTGAGTTACAGTCTGAACCTGAAGGCCTGAGACCTGGGAGAACTGAGGGTGTGAGGTCCAGTCTGAGCTTGAAGGCCTGAGACCCAAGAGAGTTGATGGTGTGAGTTCCAGCCTTAGCCTGAAGACCTGAGACCCAGGAGAGCTGAGGGTGTGAATTTCAATCTGAGTCTGAAATTCCAAGACCTAGGAGAGCTGGTGGTGTGGGGTCCAGACTGAAAACCCAAGACCCAGGAGAACCAATGGTGTAGGTGCCAGTTTAGAGACAGGAGAATCCTATGTTTAGCTGAATCAGGCAGGGAGGTGAGGTTCCCTCTTACTCAGTCTCTGTGTTCTATTCCGGTCTTCAATAGATTGGAGAGGACCCACCAACAGCAGGGGGGCAATCCACTGTATTAAGTGTATGAATTCAAATGGGAATCTCATCCAAGTACCCACCTCACAGACACATTCAAAATAATGATTTCCCAAATATCTGGGCACCCTGTGACCCAGTCAACTTGATACAAAAAATTAACCATTATAGTTGCCTTGCTTCTGCCTGGTAGGAGTGACAGTCCAGACCAGTTAGTCTTGTCTGATATCCACCTGGTTGTTGGAGAGTTATAATTTGTTACAGATGGGCAAAGGTGGGAGTTTATGCTTCAAGATCGGTCTTTGCTGATGGGGTGGGTGGGAAACCACAGTGTGTCTGAGGTATATGTTGGACACACAGAAAATCCAGAGAACTCATTCCCATGTTTTTCCCCACGTACTCAGGTCTTTAGTTGGTCTTCTTTCTTCTTCTCTTCATCTGTCAGGGACTTCTTATACTTGCTTTATGTATAATGTCCAGGTTTTATGGCTGTATTTAGTGGTGGAAACCAGGAGAAGTGCATCTACTCCATCTTGTACCAGAATCACAAATTTGAAGTATTGCATCTTTTTCAGTATGACTGAAAAATATCTGCAAACTCATTTACAAATTTGCAAGTGGTGCACAAAGTAAATCCCCTTACATATTTCTGTTTGACCACATAATTGTTTGAATCAAGTGAAATTGCATAAATAAAATCCATGTAGTTACAAACCAAATGGACTATCTATCCACAGGCTATAATTTGTAACAGTCAAATATACCTGTTTCTAATCTAACAAAGGCTTCAGAGAGACTTTCTAAGAATAAGTTTCAGTTTGAATACTCAGAAACTCTGGGGATTTTGAGCACAGTAGGTTAATACTAGAGAGGATTCAATAAATTGTAGACCTTCAAAATTGTTTTCCTTAGAACTTCAAATCTTCCTACACTTTTAAAATTGTTTTTTCTGCATTAAACAATGTTATATATCGTTTAAAAAAGTGTCTTATGTTAATATTCAGCACAATTTATTTGCATGTTCTACTTTGTGTTCTAGTGAAAGTTAAATATTTGATAGCTTGAATAATTCTTTCATCTTTGATCTGAAGCTGCATTTTGAAAATATTGACTGAGAACACAATGAAGTACATAATCATTTTCCAGATGGTAGCAATGACTGGAATGGGTGAGGCATGTCTCAGTAGCAACATTTCACTTCCTTCAAGATCTGACTTTCTATAAATTATTCCTAATGCAACGCAGCTAAGAACCAAGACAAGAATGTAATTGAAGTAGCCTCTGAGTAATTAATAATTTACTTTCTCTATGTGGCCACCCTCAGGACCTAAGTCAAATAAAGAGTCTACAAAAACACCTTAAGAGGAAAAAAATTTTTTTAAAGCTTATAATGGATATGCATCAATTGATCCATGTGGAAAAAGACAGAAAAGCCATTTTAGAAACAACAATCTGAGGTTATTTAATATAAGGTTATAGAACTCTATACACTTGAATATCTACCAAGTTCATTCTGTATGATCCAGTAGAAGAACAATGATAACTCTTTGTGGGTACTGCACTGCTTAGATGTTATTTTTGAAAACCGCTCTAGACTTTTAATACCTTCCCTCACTGAGTTTTGAGTTATTAATGCAACCATTTTACAGATGAAGGCAGATAAAACACAAATTTTAAAGCCTTGTGTGAAGCCATATGGTTGACGGGAGTGAGAATCCCTTATGTGAAGACATTTTAATAGTCTACTCTGAATCATTGACCAGTAACAGTTTATGTGACTCTAGAGTTTAATGATCACATTACTTTGGGAATATAGAGTTTTGTGATCTGGGAAGACATATAAATGTGTTTCTGTGATCTACTCACATGCATATGAGAGTTATATTTCATGTAAATTTTAGCCCAGAGAAAGGGGTTAATCTCTTTAGCCTGTGGATGTATATCAGACTTTTAAGGAATTCTCCTGAGATTTTTTTCTCTGCGATACTTTTCAGACAATTTCAAGTTTATTCTGCTTCACCTGTCATACTGGCAACCTGCACTAAGAGTTTGTCACCAAACTGCCATTGTTAAGTTTGGAACGTCTTTAAGTCTAAATGGTTATGCAACTTGGGAATGACCAGATCATTTTCCAAGAGGGTATGATACATCCTGTTGGTGAAGGCAGCACATTCTGGCTGGCCAGATGGATGAATCTGTGACTTCTCCCGCCATGACAGGGTTTGAATGAGACTCCAAGCCAATGGGTATAGTTTTCAGCTCCCTAAGTGATCACCAATGAGGCTGGATGGTGTAATCCACGAATGTGCCACTAGCTTGTGGTGGAGTGAATCAGTGTTGTTGTGTATTTTCTTTAGTCTTTGTTTCTCAGTGCTCATATGGATGTGCCTATCTGCTATAAAACCAAGTCATTAAAAATATTTAAATCTGATATAATTACACAGACTTACATGGATAAGATACATAGGGTATTATCTTTACTCTTTCAAATGTATAAACTGTTTGCTTCTAGTTAGTTCACACCAGAGGGCAGACTCATTCTTTCCTTTAACTTAAAGAATCAAATTGTTGGTAAATTATAAACTTCTAGATAATGTGCTCTTGAGTTTATAGCACTTGAAATTGATTCATTGAAGTGTATATTTGTGGATATACATATGTATATATATGATATATATATCATTGATTCACATATTTTTATATATATACATATATTTTATTTGTAATTACTATTATTTTTCAAGTGCCTGTGTGTATTTTAAAATTATTGTCTACTTAGTATTCTGGGGAAAAAAAATTAGGAAACTAACGCTCTTATATGCTATTTTACAGGGGTTATGTCCAAAGTCATAAAACAAGAAAGAGGTGAACCAGGATGTAAATGAAAAATTGACATATTAATAAAATGTGACAATTTCACCCAATGTATGTAGCCAGAAGTCAGACACAGTCAAGAAGTTGGGAGTTAAAAGATACAAATTATTAAGAACAAAAGAAGAGAACTATTTCATGGGGTTCGCATTGTGAGTTGATGAATTAATGTAGAAAATGGTAATTTGGTCTCCTTCATTCCCATGGTAAATGTCTTCATTGATCATGGAAAAGAACATATTATTGGAGATGTGTGTCAAGATGTTCCTTTGGCTGAATCTCTAATCATCATGCTTGTCACTACCCATGAATGATCCAAAAAAGTTCCACTTTATGATTGACCAGGTACCTAACACACACTGTAACTTTTGCTAGGATATGCAATTTTGACTTAAGATGGAAATTTGGCTTCTCCTCTCATACTGGCTGAATCTAAGTAGCAGCTGGACATTGATTCCAAAGAGATGAACCCTACTGAATGCGTTTGTGAAAAGATGGTAGGGTAAAGATACATGCAGCAATATAGAACCTCCAGGCTGGGTGCTGTGGCTCATGCCTGTAATCCTAGTGGTTTGGAAAGCTGAAGAGTGGGAGGATAACTTGAGCTCAGATGTTTGACACCAGCCTGGGCAGCATAGTGAGACTCTGCCTCTACAAAGAAATTTTAAAACTTAGCTGGGCGTGGAGGTGGACACCTGTAGTCCCAGCTACTTAGGTAGCTGAGGTGGTGTTAGCCCAGGAAGTCAAAGCTGCAGTAAGCTGTGACTGCACCACTGTACTCCAGCCTGGGTGACAGAATGAGACTCTGTCTCAAACAAACAAACAAAAACAACATAGAACTTCCTGAAGTTTCTAGATCATTATACCAACCCTCGATTTCAGTGGATAAGGGGGTTCGAAGAGAGGCTTGCAGGTAGATAGAGTGCCTTATAATTTCTAGTGCCTTCTTGTTAATACTCTGTAATCTGGTCATTCATCTTATTTTTGCTCATTTTTCAGGGGTCAGGAGGTAGAGGCTTTCTTTAAATTATAGATTAGAGAATTAGTTCATAAATGATTACAAAATGTATGATTATTATTGTTTTCCATTTTATGTATTTATCTTTAAATAACCTGTTTCAATATCCAAGATAGTGTACTACATGTAAATCCCACATTCTATAGTGATATAAACTTAGATTTTCATATAACACTATAGTTTACAATGTCCTTTCACTTGCTTTATTTGCTCATTGGGAATTTGTGCTTTATTGAATTAAAAATCAAATGAGGGAGATAAAGTTTTATGGTTTCTCATGCATGCAACAGGACCAAGAATTTTACCAGGGTTTCCTGGTTAAAAATCCAAATGGCTACTTATTCATGTAAGTGTGTCCCGTGTGGTAAAGTACAGTTGCACTGTGAAAAAAAAGCCAATGATACTATATATAGTACACATGACAAACGTGTACACCCAGGAACAAAGCTTCTTAGATCAGTGGTGAATTGGAAATTCCAACCAAGGAAAAAGCAAAAAAGCAACATGAGGACCTTTCTTGACATTTCTTTTTCACATCTTTTCTGGAAACCAGATCTGTGTTTTCAAAAGGAAAGGAAATGAGAACAGGTGAAATTTGAAAGAGATAGTTTAAAATCATTTTTATGACATCCATGAACATATATATTCTATGACATAAAGTATTATGGTAAATCAAAGTAAGTTTATTTGCAAACATTATTTCAAAGTAAGTTAAAATATTATATTGACAATTAAAATTAGCATGCTAAATATATATTAATTTATATATATTTATATATATGTATGTTGTGTTGTTGGTGTATGTAATCAAGCTAAACAAAGGCGAAAACCTATTTTTACAGCAATCTCCAGCTGCTCAAAAGTAGGCTGCTCTAAGTAACCTATTCTAGTGAGTCAGTACTTAAGACCAAGAAGCACTATAATACCAGTACATAACTGTTCTTACAAAATTGTCAGAAAAGTCTCATTAACATCTATTTTAAGATTGTATTACCTTAACTTTTAAAAGTGTGATATTGATGAAAACATATAATTGTCAAAACTACTAGGTAATAATTATAATAGATTGTATTTTAAATAATAAAAATAATATTTATACTTTTGTTTATATTTTTAAACACAATGGTAGGGTTTATTTTCCAGATTACATTTTCTACTTAAATTTCAAAAATTAATTAGTGTCTACATAAAATATTGGAAATTAAAGTAATTTAATGTTCAATTTCAAAACAATTTCTAATGTTTGTAATTACATAAAATTTGACTAGTCTAATTATACTGTGTATGATATGCTCAAACAGAAAACACGAAGAAGTTTGGTTTTAGTTCTATAATGTCTGTTAACAACTTGATATTGTCGCTGTTACATTGAACAAGAATCCTAAATGTAGTAAAGGAAAATGTTGGCATTCAATTGAATCCAATTCTTTGGGCTAGAAAGCTTTCCCTGACTTGGTTCCGTGATTCAACTATTCTGTTGACTCCCAGAACACATGAAAAACAAATAAGAATTCTGTGGTTTCCTTCTAATTATAAAAGACAATTTGATTTTATTTTAAAATATCAGACTACTGTAATACTCAAAACTGCTGTTTCGTGTACAGCATATGCTGTTGGCTGGGTAGGTGTCTAAAGGTGTTTTGTTTTTTTATGCAACACTCACACAGGTTCTTTGGGGATGGTAGCATTCCCCGTTTCTCTTCTGCCTTTGATGCCTGGAAATATTACACTTGTATCTCCTTTCTCCATAGAACCTCTTCTTGCTAGATTATATTACCTTTTCAATCATCTGCAAGGTATGAGCTGTCTTCAGGTTAGATTTCTCTTTTGTAGGATCCACAGGAAAGACTGCATCATGGACTCTCTATGAGCTTAAGATAGTCCATATATCCTTTGCTTTCTTAGCTAAGAATCTTGTCATCTGCTGTTCAGATGTCTTAGGTATAAGTCAGATCTTAGCCCATTGAGCCCCCTTAACTATAGGGAATGGCTATTGAGACCTCTGAGAGGTTTCACTTCACCTCCCTTCCTGCTGTGTTGCATTTCTCAGCTCTCTGAAGCATAAAAGTATTTCACATTCTTACAACATGTATCAATCGGCTGACTTGCATCTTTGAGCACCACTTATATTTTTGGCTAATCAATTAAAAAAATCAGAACACACTCCCTTCCCTTGAGCATGTATAGTAATTTATTTCACCTTCAAATTTTGATAATGTAAACAATACTGAAAATATAGGTATAAGTTTGAAACAGATAATCGATCAAATAACCATTATAAAAACTACTATGTCTAAAAATCTTAGCTTAGTTAGTTTAGTGTTGTCTTGCTTTTGTGATCTGCCTGTATCCTATGCTGAAACTACTTTTATGATGATATAATTTGACTTTTTTACCTATTTTGACTTGCATCCTTACCAGTAAAATACATTTTCCATATAAGAAAATATTATAGCAAGTTAAGCAATAGGTGTTGAAGAATATAAAACACACTTTGATTAAATTAGTTACTTTTCTTTCCCAATTGACAATATTCAATTGCAAAATCAATTGCTCGTTCTCAAATATTCAAAAAAGAATAGTCCAGACTTGACAATGATGACCACAGTATTCTGTTAATTATAAATTAGACACAATCTCTCTTTACGAACACATTTACTTGCTCAAAATCATAGCATAAAATGTCCTTCTTGAAAGATGATGTTAAAATAGAACTAATCTAGTCTTGGCTTCTGCTGAGATCTCAAGAAAAAATAACACAAGTACTCCTCCATTATAAAATGAAAGTTATAAGATCTTCATACAGTAGTTGCAAAAATCAGCCTTGTGATTCTTAGCTCATCCCATATGTTGAGAAAATAAGAGAGTTAGGAGTAAAAATTAGTGAAATGTTATTTTCAAGTCTTTGGGCTTTACTCCTATCTGGTACATAGGGAGAGGTTGTGAGGAATAGGCTCACTTCTTGCCTTAATTCTGGGCATGGAAAATGAAATAGAACCTCCCAGAAGGCTTAATATCTATTCCCTGGAGTTTAGGGAACTCATTGGGCTAGAGTTTGCCTCATTCCCAAGACATTTAAAAGGCAACCAATTACATAAAAAGCAGTGGCCCAATAGGTGTGAAACTTTGAACAACTCTACGCAACTCTTTATATCTGGGAGAGTCAGTTCTCCTTTTCCCATTAACATTATATTGAATTTTTTCAGCTCTTTGAAATACACAAATGACTTTTACGTAGAAAATGCTGGTCATATATCTATCCCCATTCACCTTAATTTTCTCAAAGAATTACCTGTAAGACATAAGAAAAGTGTAAGAGAGTGAAAACAAGATAAGTAAGCAAACATTATTGATTGCATAACGGAAAAGACGCAAATAAAAGGGTCGTAGAATGCCCACTAGTCGAAAATATGAAGTCTAACACTCATGGAATTGAGTACAGAGTGTGAAACCCTTGGTGAATGTTTTGGTAAGTGAGCAAATGTAGGCAACTGATTATTAATAAGTATGCACCTGGTATTGCTTGTGAGCGGCCCTAAAGTTCATTCCTGAAGTCTGGAGGCAAAGAGGAGAGAGGTGGCTGACATAAAAGTTCATTCCCCAGGATTAGCTCCGGATGGCCTCATGGGAATCGAGGAGATCTCTCTAACATGGAAATTATCTCCTGCTTTTGATCACAAGAAGCTGAAAAATCAAAGTGAATAGGATTGATGAAAAATAGGAACGGGGATTGAGTGATCTTTATATGCTGGAAAATAAGAGAATAATTGTGTTTTAAAAACAAAACTATCATGCTTGTAATTACAAAAACTATGGAGATGAAGGGTGACAAAAGGATCCATTAAGAAGACTACACAAATTGGGTTTCATAATTAGTGCATTATAGAATCATAACATAAACACCAGACTATAAGAAATTATGTCAAATACATACCATAATACAGAAATACCATAATACAGAAATACAGAATACATACCATAATACAGAAATAAAACATACCATAATACAGAAACATGTACAGAAATACAGATAGATAGATAGCTAGATAGATAGATAGATGATAGATTTCACTAATATGCTAATATGCAAAGATGTTTCTACAATAGAAAAGTAACTAGAATGACAAAAGATCAATGAACTTATCTTTAAAAATACATTCAAGTTCTCAGGTTTACTGGAAGTCAAAAAATGTAAATAAAAATAGTAATACAGGCTTTTAATCTATGATATTGGAAAGAAGTTTTCTGTGACGCAATGTCATGAAGAAGAAAAAGTAGAAGTTTTTTTCTCTCTTCCTTCCTTCTTCCCTCCCCCCCTCTTTTCCTTCTTTCCTTATCTCTCTCCCTCCCTTGCTTCCTTCCTGCCTCTTCCTTCCTTCCTTTATTTTCTTCCTTCCTTATTTCCTTCCTTTCCTCCCTCCCTTCCTTCTCACCCTTCTCATTTATTGCTGGAAAGACTGTAAATTGAGGCAAATTTCATAGAAAATAATTTGGTGATATGTATTATATTAAGAATTGTCAAATAGATCACCACTGATATACTTTATATAAATTTTATAAAAATAATTACATGTGTGCATTAAAAGGTGTATAGCAGGAACATTTCATAGTAAGAAACTCTACAGTTGATTGTTACTAGGCCACCATTAAGCCAATAATAAAATAGTAGGAATGCATGTGTTTGTGTGTTTGTGTGTGTGTGTGTGTGTCCATTGGTTATACGCATTTTAAAAAGCACATCGAAGTTGCACATCAGGTTATTAATAATGGGTACTATTGGTGGGGCATTTTTTTTTTTTTTTTTTTTTTTGAGACGGAGTCTCGCTCTGTCGCCCAGGCTGGAGTGCAGTGGCGGGATCTCGGCTCACTGCAAGCTCCGCCTCCCGGGTTCACGCCATTCTCCTGCCTCAGCCTCCCAAGTAGCTGGGACTACAGGCGCCCGCCACTACGCCCGGCTAATTTTTTGTATTTTTAGTAGAGACGGGGTTTCACCGTTTTAGCCGGGATGGTCTCGATCTCCTGACCTCGTGATCCGCCCGCCTCGGCCTCCCAAAGTGCTGGGATTACAGGCGTGAGCCACCGCGCCCGGCCTTGGTGGGGCATTTTTAAGGGAGTTCATTGACATCAAACTTTGTGTATTTTTTAGAAAATGGTAAGGTTATGGAATACATTTTTCTCACTAAAAATGATGTTTTAGTGAATAATCCATTTTCAATCTAGTTTTTAAAAATGATGACAGTATTGTAGAATTCCAAATAAAAACATAAGCTACATCAGAGGTGTTGTAAATAGAGCTAAAGAGAGTTATTTCAATTATCAGCAAATGTAGAATCTGCAATTGATTGTTATTATACAAAAGGCATAAAAGGAGGCGGGAACTAAGCTATGGGTATACAGAGGCCTACAGAATTGTATAATGGACATTGGAGACTCAGAAGCAGGAAGGGTGGGATGGGGATGAGGGATGAAAACCTGCCTATTGGGTACAATGTACACTACTCGGGTGGCAGATGCACTGAAATCCCAGACTTCACCACTGTGCATCCACCCATGCACACAAAAACCACTTGGACCCCTGAAGCTATTGAAAATAAAAAATGTATATTTACAAAAGGAATTGAAGATGAATTTGTTTTCTTTCTTATTTAGCCGAGTGAAGGCTGATGACCTTAACGAAGATGGAACATACAAGAATAAAAAATGCTTTTAAGGAAGAACAAAACGGCTGTGCTTTAGAATTTTTCATTTCACTTTCCCGTGGTACATTCAGGAGGAAATTATTTGAGGCAATTAGGCAGAGAAATTTTAACTAAAAATGTCTTTTGAAAATACAGCAGTTTGGTTTCTTCTGCAAATGTCCTCCAGCTATAGCAAGTAAGAAAACAAACATCATTTTTTATTTGATTATAGGATTTTATTAAAACGTAGAATCTGCCCTTAAGAATACCTTGAGCATTCATATAATTCTTATAAGAAAATGACCTTTGCTTCAGTATTACTGAAACAAAAACAATAGATCTTAGAAAACACGATGGGATCGACATTAATAAGTAATTCCCTAGGAAATTATTGTATATTTCAGAAAGTATTTTATGAATATATCATTTTGGCAAATGAACAGACTCAGTTTTAACAACGAACCATGTGAGGGGTTATTTTAAGTTTCTTCTATGGTTGAAATAGGTGCTTTATCTCATTTGCTCTTTTTATTATCATTATTTATAATAATTCTGTGGCGTTAACCTTATGTCTTCCTAGGGCTGAGGAATATTTAAAAGAGTTGTTTAATTATTTGTTGCTCATTTAAGGGCTTTTATAATGAATGAATATGAAAATACCACTTGGAAATGTCCGTATCTGCAATAACATGTGAACTTTATTCCTCAACATCCCGGCTATCCCACCAGACAAAAATTGCATTGGCTGGCCTGGCGCGGTGGCTGATGCCTGTAATCCCAGCACTGTGGGAGGCTGAGGCTGGTGGATCACTAGGTCAGGAGATAGAGACCATCCTGGCTAACCCGGTGAAACCCCGTCTCTACTAAAGATACAAAAAATTAGCTGGGCGTGGTGGCGGCAGCCTGTAGTCCGAGCTACTCGGGAGGCTGAGGCAGGAGAATGGCGTGAACCCGGGAGGCGGAGCTTGCAGTGAGCCGAGATTAGCGCGACTGCACTCCAGCCTGGGCGACAGAGTGAGACTCCATCTCAAAAAAAAAAAAAAAAAAAAAAGAATTGCATTGGCAATTGACAACCTATTCATACATCCTCAGCAGATCACTTTAGATTTATACACAACAATTTCAAAAATACCTGATCCGTATGTTATCCATTTTTAATGAAATTTTCTTTCTCTTTCCCCTGTTCAGTAACCTAGCAGGTGTCAATATTTTATTGGAACACCAGACTACACCAGACACTGAGCCGCTTCCTAATTGGATGGCTTCCCCCTTAACTAGAGGCCTCTAGGGTTCTACCCTTGGGAAGATATCGAAGGCATAGATTTAAAAGGGAACAGGAACCCTCTTGGTGAAAACGTCAGTTCCTTCCTTCCTGCCTGCCTTCCTGCCTAGCTGCCATCCTGCCTTCCTGCCTGCCTTCCTTTTCTTCTTTCCACTTTCTTCTTCCCTTTCACTTTTTCTTCTTTTCATATGTCCCTCCCTTCCTCTCTCCTCCCCCTTCCCTTTCTTCCTTCCTTATTTCATTCCTTTCCTCCTTCCCTCCTTCCCTCCCTCTGCCTTCCTTATTTCCTTCCTTTTCTCTTTCCTTCCTTTCTCCCTCCCTCCTTCCCTTCCTATCCTCTATGCTTCTCTCCCTGTCTCCTTCCTTCCTGCCTGCCTTCCTCCCTACCTCCCCTCCCTCCGTCTCTTCCTTCCCTCCTTCCTTCCCTCCTTATTTCCTTTTCTCTTTCCTTCCTTTCTCCCTCCCTTCTTCCCTTCCTATCTTCTATGCCTCTCTCCCTGTCTCCTTCCTTCCTCCCTACCTCCCCTCCCTCCTTCTGTCTCTTCCTTCCCTCCTTCCTTCCCTCCTTCCTTTCTTTCTTTCTCTCTCTTTCTTTCCTTCTTTCTTTTTCTTTCTTTCTTTCCTTCTTTTTCTTTCTTTCTTTTTCTTTCTTCCCTCCCTCCTTTCTTTCCTTCCTTCTCTCCCTCCCTACTTCTTTTTTCTTCTCCCTCCTCCTTCCTTCCTTGCTTCTTTCCTTCTTTTCTTCCTTCCCTTTGCTCCTATCCTCCTTTTCTTTCTTCCCATCCTACTCCTCCACATAAACCATATTTTCAAGTGCACCACACAGTGTGAATGGTGCATTAGGTTCTCTCTGCACTATTCAATGTTCCTGCAATCACTTTAGGAAGCACCTCATCATGCCTGTTGAACTTTATGACAGGTGTCGCAAGGGGAAAACCCTTGTTTCTAGTACAGCATCTCTAAGGAGTGCAGTCCTGGGATCTTGAGCATGAAGAGAGATGGATTGAAATGTGCAAAGATTTTGGTTTTGCTATTTTTGCTCGTTTGCTTTCCTGCACCCTTCAGGGTTCTATCCTGGGTCCTCAAGGTCACACAGTGAGGGTAGCTTTCATTCCCTTCCACAGGTGGGATGATTTGGTCTCAATTACTAAGAAGACCCAGCCTTGTGGCTGCCTTTGCTGGCTTTTAGTCAAAGACTCCCCAGCTTCTCACGAGGCAGCCCAGTGAGACCCCGTTTTGCACATGGAAAATTTCTATTGGCATTGAACTCAGCTATACCTTTATTTCTTATTGACGTATTTTATCTGCCAGTACTCCAATGTTTGGAATATGAAACTGATTTATTGTTTAATGAAACACCAGAGAAAATGATTTTTGAGACAAATGTGTATTTTCTTCACCAGATAATAAAAATTCCTACAGGTAAATTCTTCCAAGGCAAGAAGTGAATTTTCAAAAGTGAAAAAATAAATAACTACAAAGTAAAAATAAATAAAAAATAAAAAATTCCTACCGGGTTCAATTTCTACTGTAGCTGCAAGAAACACAAAATTTTGTATTCAATAACATGAATTATTCCAGTAAGAAACTATTCTGTATTCTGGACTTGCTTTATTCTGACTTTTAGTTAATCCCTTTCACTATGGCTAATTGTATAAACCAGAAAACCACAATCCCTTTTGAAATCCCTGTACATAAAATATATGATATTATATATGTTTTATATAAGTAATATATATGATTACTTATATAGGATTATATAACAGTTACTTATGTATTTTTATAAATATATCATTTCCATATTTATATCTATTAAATATAATATGTATAATTATTTTTATATTATTTTAATCTTATGTCTCTAAGACAATCTTATGCAATATTATAAATTTTAAATTATAATATTGCATAAATAAAATTATATATAATTATATAATTATACATAAAGATAAATAAATACACATGTGCATATATTAATAAATAGGTACATATGTGTGTGTATTCATATATTTATACAGTTAAAACAGACAAGTATACATGTCACAGATGTATATATTCATATACATGTATATCATTGATAGAGCCTTTGCAAGTCATATATATGACAAATATACATGTATACATGTCTTTGACATAATTAGTGCATCTTGTTAGTATCAGCCCATTCACTACATGTTGATTCCTTTCATTTTCATCTTGTCTATTGCATTCATAGTTATCCTCAACCAAACTCTAAAATAGATTATGAATTCCCAGAACTGAATGATCACATTCCTCTATTTTTTGGAAACAACTAGCATTGTCCTATATGTGATTTCTTCACAGAATACAAGGTACTTAGAATGATAATTCCATCTCCTTGCATATTTTTAGGGCAAACAAAGAAAATAACACAGAAAGATTTACTTGACTTTACCTGGTGTACCATTTGAGGCTCACAGAGAGGACTCTAACAAGATGATTTGTGCGTATTAATATATTTTCTTTTTCCCCATAGTATTCATTGAATGTGTTTGCCCATTAGGTGTTTTGTTTAAGTCTTTTTTCCATATTTTCAGTACAATGTATTATAAAGTAACAGTCAGTTTTCTTCAAAGAAAAAGAAAACTGAGTGACTTTAAAAATCACAAAAAGAAAATTCCATTAAAAAAGCATTATATTTCATTGCATTACTATGACTATAATACTACCCCATAGGACAGTTTACAACATAACAAGTCAGTGTTAATTCTGTGACAGCCATAAACACTTCAAAGAAACTCCATCATGTGATAAAGATACAATATTTTAATAGTGATGCTTTTGTAACTGCAAGAGATGCTAAGTAGTACAATTGCATCAATTTTTGTTATTGTTTCATTGTAAAATTATAGAGTTATTTATCACAATAGAGTACCAGTTATTTCTTTCAAATCAAAGACTCTATGTATTTATAATCCTCTGTCATATTCAAGGATATTGCTGATGGGTTTGTTATTTTTATGTAAATGATCAGTGTGTATCAGGAAGCTGCCTTTGCTACCCAGAAACAGCTGCTAAGTAAAGTAAATTTTGAAGCCTAACTCTTCTATTCCTCATTCCTCTACCTCTTCTATAGGAGCAAGATATCAATCCCATTTCTCCTTGCCCATTAAAAAAAATTTCCCTCTGTGCACTCCTTCCCCAACTTTTTTTGAGACAGGGTCTCCTTCTGTTGCCCAGGCTGGAGTGCAGTGATGTGATATTGGCTCACTGCAGCCTTGACTTCCTGGGCTCAAGCAATACTCTCACTCAGCCTCCCAAGTAGCTGAGACTACAGGTACATGCCACCACACCCAGCTAAGTTTTGTCATGCACCATTTTGATAGACTCTACAAGAAACTCTGCACTACAGATCTCAAGCACGAGACTCAATCCTCCATATTCCTATTGCCATCTTCCCATGGATTTATCACACCCAGCCTGGAACAGGAGTATGTAGTTTCCTTGGTGGTCTAGCCTCTGATTACTGACTTTTTAACCCATCCCTCCTTAGCCTAAATTCCATAAAGTCCCTGGTAACTCGGCTTACCTCCCAGTTTAAGCTTATGTTGACATGAGCTTTTCAAACTTTGGGTGCCTGGCTGAGGCAAATCTCAACTCCCTCTAGAGAAACTTCCAAAACAATATTGCCCTTTCATCTGTATTTTACAAGCCCTTACATCTTCCTAGTACTCTGTTTTCCCTTGCTGGGTTTAGAGAAATAATTTTCATCCCCAGTCTACTTGACTGGAGTCCTGAAGTTCCAAATCTTCAAAAGGTAGGGCCTGCCTCCCAAGAGTCAACATGATTTTCTACCACCTTCCCCTTTTTGGGAGCTGATTCTAGACACAAGGAGGCCATGCAGAACTTTGGACATTGCTTTCCAACTCTACCCATGACCCTTTAAGGTTTATGTCTCTCGAAACTTGGCATGTATATCTTGCTTCTTAAACATGCAGGGCCACGTGAATCATTCTGCAGTATTTCTGGTCCAGCAAGTTTAAAAAGAAGCTAATGAAGTGGATATTTAAAAGCCTTCAGGTGAATCTAATGGAAGTAGTAATCAATAAACCACACCTTGAAAATGGCTAGTTGAAAATGCCACCATTCTCCTTTCACTCCATTGCTTTGAAAATAAACACTGACCAACATATATACAAAAATTAGCATATTGCATCACCTTGATGACTGCCCCACTTTTTAGGAAGCTGCAATTCACTTTTTATAATTAAGATATTGGCTGGGTGCAGTGGCTCACACTTGTAATCCTAGCACTGTGGGATGCCAAGATGAAAGGATCACTTGAGTCCAGGAGTTCCAGACCAGCCTGGGCAACATAGTGAGACCGTGTATCCACAAGAAAAATATTTTATACATTAGCCAAGTGTGCCTAACTTTTAAATATTTTTAAAAATTAGTCTGTAGTCCCAGCTACTGGAGAGGCTGAGGTGGGAGAATCACTTGAGCCCAGGAACAAGAGGCTGCAATGAGCTATGATCACACCTCTGCACTCCAGCCTGGGCAACAGAGTGAGAAAGAAAGAAAGAAAGAAAAAAAGATATCTCCAAGTTATGGACTGTTTTCCATTTTCTGCTTCACCGTTACTTACGTGAAAATAGTTTTCGTTACCTTCCGTTTCTCAGTAAAGTTGCTGTATATTTGTTTTCATCATACAGGATGGTCTTCCTAGGAAGCGCAGACATAATTACTGAATGCCACAGCACTGCATAACCCAACAGAACCTCACTGGTGCCTTCTCAGTCTAACAGGCAGCATTGAAGAGGATGCTACCTTCAGTCTCTTCCAGAAGAGGATATGTACCTGTGGGTAAAATGAAATGATAAAATAATGCTTAATTCATTAATATTATCAGATTTCCACCCTCCACTTTGGGGCAAATGCTAGAGAGTGAGGGAAACAGAGAGAACATCTACTCCCTTATGCACAGTTTACAGATAAAAACAAACAAACAAAAAATATCAAATTCAAGGATACATGCATAACCACGTGCTCCATCCATGGTGGTGTGTGGGCAGCTGATTTCCAGTTCATGGTGCACCCATTCCACTGGGGGACATTACACCTGCATCCAGGTGATTGAATTTGGACCAGACTCAAGTTCTGCAGGAACATGGATGTGTCTCATCTTCACTCAAGCTGATAAGTTTGAGCTGATACAGACATCACATCCATCTTCTTGAAGAAGTTCCACGGCAAAACACATGAGTGTTATTTATCAATTTGTGGCAGAATGGAATAACCAACCCTTCCCTCTTGAGAACACTGTCAGTGCAGCAG
Source organism: Homo sapiens (assembly GCF_000001405.40). NCBI lineage: Eukaryota > Metazoa > Chordata > Mammalia > Primates > Hominidae > Homo > Homo sapiens. Next base: position 43,193 of record NW_017363820.1, read on the forward strand.
CACATAAATAAATCTTGCTGCACCGCAGCACCCTGATGAGGCAGTGATCGCTGTGCAAAGATTCATGGCACTTTACTTGAATACTTTCATGGAAATATTTATTAAAACTCCCCCAAAATATCAAAAGTTGAGCAAATAAAAAATTACAGGCCAACAAATGTTTTCATATCTGATGTTCAAATCTAAAAACCACAGTGAAGCTAAAATCTTCACTGTTTCCTCAATAATTATGAACCGTTGATATTCTGTCTATTAAATGTGTGATATTTGCGATTTCACCAGAAAGCTAGCAGTCCATTTCCCAAGGCAGCACAAATAGTACATAGACTCTTTGCTAATCGTGTTTTAAAATTATGCATCATTGCAAAGCAGAGAGAAGTTAGGTTGTTATGTGGTATGAATCTGTTCTATTGAGTCTAATTCAGGCCGATGGAGTGCTGAAGATCATGTTTCCTTTTTAATAATGAGACCGTTTAAACTCTGATATTAATTTTTATTGCTCATCTGAAGAATAATTAAACAAAACAATTGACAAATAATTGACAAAACCATAAGCAAAAATAATGGACAAAACAATTACAACATAAACAAGATGTTTCTTTTAACCGAGAGTGAGGCTGTTCTATTTTAACAAACCACTTTTATTTCACTTGATATATAGCCGGAAAGGCCAAATAATAACATTTTAGTAAAATCACATTTTCTCTGTGACCCAGGTTCCAAGAAGACAGTGTCTTTGAATAATGTCTAGAATTTTTGATTTGAAAGAAACACATTTCTGGTCTATAGCTTAAAACAACTACATCCTCTGAAAAACCCAATAGTTCTTTAAGGAACACAATTCTGCTAATAATTACCTCTGACATTAGCTACCTTGATGGCAAACATCTTGAAAACCAGAGTAAAAAAAATCTGCTGAGTCATTAATGTGGTTTATCTCTGTGTCCACACCCAAATCTCATGCTGAATTGTAATTCCCAGTGTTGGAGGCGGGGCCTGGTGGGGCCTGGTGGGGGGAGATTGGATCATGGGTGTGATTTCTAATGGTTTGGCACCATCCCCCTAGTGCTGTCTCATGACAGAGTTCTCAGGAGAATACCCCAGCTTAAAATAATGTGAACAGTGAAAGGAGTTTATTGATTCATGTAAATAAAAATAGGTCAACACTAGTTTCAGGAATGGCTTGATCAGGGCGCTGACTCCATTGCTCTGCAGTTCTCTTGATTTTGCTTTCCTTCACATGATGGTTTACTTTTTAGGCTCACTTTTATCATGGTGACAAAATGTCTGGAACAGTTCTGTACACCACATCTTCCTGAAGAAAAGTGTCTTTATCTCAACTACCAAACAAAATCCTAGGTTTCCCTCTAAATGAGCAAACAGGTCACATGCCCATCTCTGAATCAGTTACCATAGCCGAGGGAAGTGCTGTACTCTGATTGGCTTAGGATGAGATTTTTGCCCATCTCTGAAACGATCCCGGGCAAGAGTAGGATGTTCTGATTGGTTTTAGTCAATTGGAGAGGGATTTACCTCTGGAACTGTGAACGGAGTCACTGTCCCCTAAATTATTATACATGACTTCTATGCATTGCGAATACAGTCAATACTCTCAAAATTACATGACCCCATGCCTTTGGGGAGCAGATGAATAGATGCTGCTAAAAAAGCCATCAGTGTCTTTCTGAATTGCAATTTTCCTTTGGGATGCAAAAAGTGTCTTTCATTCTGGCCTTTGATTCTTCAACACAAAAAGTGTGTGGCACCTTCCCCTTTCTCTCTCTCTCTCCTGCCACCTTGTGAAGAAGGTGCTTGCTTCTCCTTAATCTTCTACCATGATTGTAAGTTTCCTGAGACCTGCTCCCAGCCATGCTTCTGTGCAGCCTGCAGAACTGTGAGTCAATTAAACCTCTTTTCTCCACAAAGTACCCAGTCTCTGGTAGTTCTTTATAGCAATGTGAGAACAGACTAATACAGTCATTTTTATGTCTCTAAATAGTTTTACATAATGTATTTCTCTAATGTATTTATATGAATGTATGTGTGTCTATTCACTGATACCTACCTTTTAATAGCAATATACTAGCTTAATTATTTCTATTGATTATTATAGATGCCATTAAATAATCAGGTGATATATTAGTACAAGATAATGTCACTCTAGGAAACTTCTCCCCGAATTTCTTTCTGCTTGCAATTCATGTTAGCGTATAACCATCTCTTTTCCTTAATTCATAATGACATTTCAAAAAACATTTGTTTTTTAAACAGTTCTGTAATCTCACGTGCCTCTACTGTTTATCTAAATACTTCTAGATTAGTAAATAATCATTGCTTCTAAACAGTTTTTAAATATATACATGGTTATAGTCTACTTAATAAAATACTGTCAGTATATTTAAAAGTGGAGATGAGAAATACTGCTGTACAGCTTTGTTGAATGATTTGGAAGTTTTCTCCCAGAAGACTTTACTCCTCACTTAACTTCTTAGTTTCATTTCTATTATTATTTCAAAAGTAACAATGAGAATACCTCATGTGAAGTCACAATGCCAAAATTACATAAAGCAAAAATACAATGTTTGCTTTTTATTAGACAGTAAAAGGTAGTGATACTGACTACCTAATATAACAATGTCAAAGTAAATAAAAATAAAATGAATATCTAGCTCTGAAAGTTATATGTGTAAAGACAACCATCTGTAAAGTCAAGAACAATAAAGTTAAATTGCTAAAGCAATTGTAATTTTATTTTAAAAGGGGGATTCCAGACTTTGAAGGGAAATCTTTTTCTAGATTATGTGAATCCAGAGGAACTCAACAATGGCCATGAGAATCTTTATTTAAGGGGAAAACCTTAAACTAAGTCATCAGATTGATAACTGTTCAATTCATGCACATCTGCATTGAGAACAATACTCATTAAATTACTTGATCAGAAATGCATGGATTGAACAGGGATCCATGAGAACTTTCAGAAAAAAAGATTACGTGTTGAGTTATAATCATGAATTGACTTAAAATGATGAAACACTTTTTACCCCAAATGGCTTAGAGAAGTCACAAAAGAATTCTGCTTGGCTGATACATCACTTACTGTTCTATTAGGATTCATGTCTCTGTGCACTGAAATCCCCTGGATTTCAAGGATCAAGGCTGATTCACAAAGACTCGATCCCTTATTAACACTGATGATAACCAATGTTTGGTGTTGGGGTTGGGGTGGGTGTTTTGAGGGTATAGGACCCAGCCTGCCATGACCCCCCAGGCTCAGTACATCCTGTCATGTTCAGAACAAATCTCTCCACCTCATGATTCCATTGTCTGATCTCTGAATGCCCAGCTGTGCCCCTCCTGGTGAGATCTGGGGACCTCAGATCAGTCTGCCTTCTTTTGCTGCATGCTAATGTCATGAGTTTGCCTCTTCATAGTATAAACCTTATCTTTTTGCCATGGCCACTGAGTATGACACAATTCATGATTATGGCCTCATATGCATGGCCTTGGTCAAAATCCACAGAAGTTCTGCTTAGCCTCACTCCTATAATGGTGAACAAGCAAAAGCTTTCGTTATTGTTTTCTGCCTTGTTTAGTCTGTGGTTCCACAAAGTCAAGTTGACCTTTCAAATCTCTTCTAGGTTTGATACCTTTCTCTGTATCATCAAACCCTGACACTTTTCTATCCTCTCACATGTTAATTTCCTCATTAGCTCCATACTTTTCTCCCCATATATGTTCCCATTTAGGGTCATTCCATAATGATTGGGCCATCCATATGTATTGGGCAACATAGTGAGACCCCATCACTACAAAAATAAAAAATAAAAAATTAGCCAGGGATAGTGGCACACACCTTAGTCCCAGCTACTTGGGAGGTTGAGGAGGGAGGATTGCTTGAACCCAGGAGTTTGAGGCTGCAATGAGCTGTGATCATGCCACTGCATTCCAGGTTGGGTGACAGAGCAAGACCTTGTCTTAAAAAGAAAGAGAGAGAGAGAGAAAGCTGTCAATGTTGGTTTCCACTGTGAAATATGCATTTAAATGGCCACTAAATTCATAAGTCTTTACCCTAATTGCCATATTTAAAATGGGGTTTGGATTGAACTTTTGGAGGCTTGATAGTAAAATGATGGTATTACTTTATATCTATTGTTGTCCATATGACGTAAAGCAAATAAATTAATTATTATTTTCCCAACCACTTTCCATTAAGTTAACCATTTTTAAAACCTAGTAGATTGGCTTAATCATATATTGATTTCAAGTAGATAATATAACACTATGATAAAATAGATGGCAACAGCATAGTAAAATCATAGAGACATAGGCTTGCAAAGAACCTAGTAACTTCCATGTGTCACAAATTTGAAGAGACCTTACATAGCCATATCTTATGGTAACATCTTTTAAGTAATATATTCTTAAACTTGGATGACACAGAGATGTGAAAGAGAAACCAGCAGGTCTGTACAATGGAGACAATTTCTTAGCTTTAGATTGTACATCTTAGATTCTTCTTAGATGAGGCATGAAGAGTTCCCAGGAAACTTATACGACAAATGATAGAAAAGGACTCATTTGTAGAAAGCCTGGAGGTGAGAGTATAGTGAATTTAAGGAGGGAAAAGCCCAGGTTGAGATAAACAACATGTAGCAATTGATGATGTCTCTCTCATTATATGTTTGCACATATATGTATTATTATTATAAAATGCCTGTATGTTCTGAGAAAAATGTAAGTTAGAGAAGAGTTCTGTCAACGTGAATGCAAGTTAAGAATTTGAAACCTGCACGTTGTGCACATGTGCCCTAGAACTCAAAGTATAATAAATAAATAAATAAATAAATAAATAAATAAATAAATAAATAAATAAAAGTGTTTGCTGTAGGTCAGGTGGCTAGAATTATAGGGGCAGAAATTTGTTGCACAGTGAAGGAGAGTAAAGAAACCTAAGTTCAAGACGGTTGAGAGCTCTAAAAGTTGTGTGTATGTGTGTGAGAGAGAGAGGAAGCAGAAAAAGAAAAAGGAAAAGAGGGAGAGAGAGACAAAGAAAGAGCGAGGGAGAGAGAGACAGAGACAGAGAAGGAGGAAAAGGCAGAGATGGAAAGAGAAAAAGAGAGGGAGAGAAGAACAGAGACAGAGAAAAGGAGAGAGAAAGACAGAGACAGATAGAGAAAAGGAGAGAGAAAGACAGAGACAGATAGAGAAAAAGAAGAGACAGAAACAGAGAAAGAAAAATCAAAGGGGGAGACAGAGACAAGAGAAAAAGTGAAGGAGAGACAGAGAGAGAAAAAGAGAGACAGAGACAGAGAGATAAAGAGAGAGGGAGAGACAGACAGAGACAGAGAGACAGAGACAGAGGGATATAAAGAGATGTGGATTATTTTGAAATGTATAATCTTTCACTAACAAATATTTTATAATGAATCAAAACAATGTATCAAAACATTATGACAAATATTGAATATTTTATTCCCATACCATATATCCAAAATAATGAAACTCAGTAGACTAAGAGTCTGCTTTAAAAAAAAAAAGGCTAACTCTTTTCTCCCTGGTGAGAAAACTGCAGTAGATGTTTTTCTTTCCACCCTAAATCCAATGGGATTCTTTGCATGTATAGAAATGGAATAATTTGGCATGGGGTTCAACGTTGTTAATGATTTTGGTGGTGAAGTATGTTCCATTCATTTTTTTGTTTGTTTCTTCTCTAACAAAACATCATAGATAGGGTGGCTTTTAAACAACAGACGTTTATTGCTCACAGATCTAGAGTCCGGAAAGTCCAAGATCAAGTAATGGTAGATTCTGTGTCTGGTGGGAACCTGCTTCCTGGTACATAGATAGAGCCTTCTCACTGTGTCCTCACCTGGCAGAAGGGGCGAGGAAGCTCTCTGTAGTGCCTTTTATAAGGGCAGTAGTCCTATCTGTGAAGCTCACCCTCATGACCTCATCACTTCCCAAAGGCCACACCTCCTAACACCATCGCCTTGGGGGTGAGGATTTTAACACAGGAATTTTTGGGGGACATTGATATTCAGACAGTAGCACTATGTAATGACATAAATAGTGGCCCAGATCAAAGAGCCCTGGGGAGCCAGGAGAGTATGAAGCACATGCCACATTAAGGATTAAGTGGGCCAGGCAGGGTGGCTCAGGCCTGTAATCCCAGTACATTGGGAGGCCAAGGCAGGCGGATCCCTTTAGCCCAGGAGTTTGAGAATGCATTGGCAACATAGCAAAACGCTGTCTCTACAAAAAATGCAAAAATGAGTCAGTCATGGTGGCGAACGTCTTTGGTTCCAGTTACATGGGAGCCTGAGGTAGGAGGATTGCTTGAGCCAGGGAGGTTGAGGCTAATAATATGTATGCATATATTAATATATAAATGGTGATACAAGATATGGATGGTAATGTAATAGTTGGATAATATTAGAAACATGGCTTTACAACCAAAGTTCCAAAGGTGTATTTGAAATATAAAATTAATATTGCTCATATATATTCACTCAATAATGTGTGAAATGTTTAGGTGATTATGCAGAGAAGTAAAAATAATATTTAAATGATATTTGTTTATAGCAAACATATTTTTAAAATTTTATTTCTACGTGCTTCCTTTTTACACAGTTTCAATAATTTTTAAATTATATGTTTGCTGTCAAGTAATAAGATACATTCAAGAGCATATCAATATGTGTGCTGTATAGTGTATAATATTCATTTGGCTTGAATGATATATTCTTGATTTAAGGAGAGACTGCTAAGTCTTCCCTGGCCTTAGAAAGGATTTCCTAAAGCACCTGAGACATGGTGCTTTTTGAATCGAGAGTACCTGGGATGTATTCTCTGCATTCATCTGATACTCCACAGCAACATTGATAGCTCATTCAGATACAACTAGAATCAGACCCAGATCACTTCAGGGAAAGCACCTATCATTGACATCTGATTGCAAAGATGAACAAAGCAGAAAAACAAATAATCCACATGAAAACACGTTCTTTTTATATCAGGCCTTCAGGGGAAATCCGCATAAAACAATGATGCCCCTGAAGAACACATGCAAAGGGAATGTTAGACTATTGTGGTTGCATGTCTCTTTACCCTGCCTGAGTGTACAATGAAGCTAATAGACAATGCCCACTAGTGCTGCAAACATGTTAGAACAATAGAGAAACACATAAACACAACAACGTTCCTTGATCCACTGCTAGGATCCATTGATGAACAGCAGCTCATTTTAAAAAACATATTAAACATTGATATCTCACTTATGTGTGTGTAAAACCCACTTTTGGAAGGAAGAGCAGAGTTTGAACCTCAGTTCCAGATGCAAAAAATTAACGATTGCCTATGTAAACCAGATGTACGCAAAGTGGTTGTTTTAGTAAACTCTCTTGACATGGTCCTTTTCTTCAGGGCCTTCTCAAATAGCTTCAATGAGTATATCCAGGCCGGCCTTAGGAAATGGGGCAGGGTACATATAGTTTGGATATTTGTTCCTGCCAAATCTTATGTTGAAATTTGATCCCCATTGTTGGAGGCAGGGCTTGGTAGGAGGTGTTTGGGTCATGGGGATGGATCCCACATACATGGCTTGGTGCTGTCATTGCAATAACAAGTGAGTTCTCACTCTATTAATTCCTATGAGATCTGATGGTTTAAAAAAAGTCTGTGCTGGGCTCAGTGGGTCACACTTATATTCCCAGCCCTTTAGGAGGCCAAGGCGGGAGGATCACTTAGACCAGGAGTTTGAAGCCAACTTGGACAACATAGTGAGATCTTATCTCTAGAAAAAAAAAAAAAGTTACCCAGGCATGATGGTGCACACCAGTGGACCCAGCTACTCAGGAGGCTGAGGTGGGAGGATTGCTTGAGCCCAGGAGGTTGAGGCTGCAGTGAGCCATGATTACACCACTGCCCTCCAGCCTGGGCAACCGAGTGAGACTCTGCCTCAAAAAGTGAAAAAACCATCGAGAAACTTCCCCCTGTCTTCTTCCATGTGCTACTCCCAACTCCCCTTCATCTTCCATCATGAGTGAAACTTCCTGAGGTCCCCCTGGAAGCAGATGCTGGCACCATGCTTCTTGCACAGCCTGCAGAACTATGAGCCAAATAAACCTCTTTTGTTAATAAATTACTCAGCCTCAGGAATTCCTTTATAGCAACACAAAGCAGACTAAGACAGAGCAGTTCAACATCTTTAAGTATTGAAGAAAAAACTCTGGAACCCAATATATGGACATTCCCAGCTAGTGGAAATGTGGGACAAGAAGGACCCTAAGCATACAAGCTAATGAATACAGGGCTGTTCTCCAGCACATCCTAAGACTCAGTGCATGAATTACCTGCACCTCAAACTTCTATAGAATCCTAATACAGGCCCACCTCCCTGATAGAGACCCTGTCCTTAACCATAACAGTAGCCTGACAGCTTCATTCCCAGAAATGTCAGGTGTTCTGAGATTTCATTTCTACTACTGTTCTTCCAAGGTTTCTCAGCCTCAGCACTGTTGACATTATGAGCAAGGTAATAGTAAATCTTTGCATTGTATTGACTTTCATCCACTCTATGCCAGTGGGTAAAAGTCAATTTCCTCCCTGTTGTGACAACCAAAATTATTTGGACACAATTGCCACTTATGGTTCTCACACTGTTTCTGATTCATTGGAGTCTCATCACCAAACCTTCGAAATGACCTGTCCTTTGTAATCCCTGGCTCTGGACTTGATCCCTTGCCCAGTAAATCAAACTCTTTGCAGAATCAAAGTCCAGGAAATTGGGCTCCTTGAAACACTACTATACAGACCCTCCAAAAACACAGACCCTACCAAAACTCTCTATTAATGGGAATCAAGTTGCCATTTCTTTATCTCCTCATCAATGAATCTTTCAGAAATTCAGGGAAGAGAGAGTCAAAAATTGACAACATCAGAGACCCAGGTGGGGGAGGCTGACCTACCATCTACCCAACCAAGCTCAAGACCCAGGTCTGCAAAATGAGATAGTGGAGGAACTCTGAAAGTGAGCCTTGGTGCAGGAATATCCAGGGAGTTGGAGATGTAGGGTTGGGGACACACACCTGCAACAATCAGGAGGTCTAGGACTTTGGGGGCATATATTTTAGGTCTACCACAAGCACATACACATTGTTGAAGTTCTTGCTGCTGCAGGACATGTTGTGGAGAATTCTGCTTATCTCTAGATTATAAATCACAATACTGACGGTATTCGCTTTCCATGATTTAAAAAGAAATGTTCGTGGTGTTGTAAACACTACTTCAGTATTTTACAGATTATAGACTGATCCAACCCAGTGGGAATTCTTAAGCATTTCTTAAAACGCGAACGGATATATAATTCTCTTTTAACCTCTCCACGTGTTTGTTAGAGATATTTTGTTGAAGAGTCTTGAGAAAGCACACTCTGTCCTCTCAAGCACTCCTGAATACTTGGCAGGAAATAAATCTCCTCATTCTCATTCTAGAGGAGTAGACCTGCTTTGATTTGAAGGCTTGCAGTGTCTCAGAAGCCACTGGGGAAGATGAGAACCACAGGGGCTGCTATGAAGTCAGCGTGCCTAATAAAAATGAGAAAGACGAGAGGGAGTTTGTCGGATGCAGATGCACCTTTAATAATCATAAAGCATATTTGCAGGGTTTTTTAAAATGTTGAGAGTCAAATTACCTTCCTCTGAATTTATGTTGGCTGGGCTTAATCATGAATTCTGAAGAAAATTTAACTTATTAGGAAAGGTTGCTGCAGAAAAATGTAGTAAGACTACTTTATTTTTGGCCGAAAACATTATTAAAAGGACAAAATCATTGTGTGTGCATGTTTGTATACAAGAATAAAATAACTTTTTTAAACTACAACCTCTAGTCCAAAGGATAAAATAAAATTATCTATATCATTTTTTGTTTACACATATATATGCATACTGTATGTAATACTATAATATATAATATATTATCATTTTAATATGTAATATCTTACCTATACACTTTTGCACTTGTATTATCTATATACCTATATTACATGTATATATTATATCTAATATATTATATAGTATTGTACCCATGCATATTATATATAATATATATATCAATATATGTATACCCTGTTGTAATATAAATACAATATGCTATATTGTATACTTTGTATATAGTATTGTAAATATATGCATATACACTTATAATACACAGTGTACAGATAGTAATTGTGTACCTATGTTTTTATTTATATAATCTTTAGAAGAGTTTATTTTGTGGGGCAATTGTATTGTAGTTTTTGTCAAGTTTAGCCTAAGGGACAGAGGAATTTGTCTTTCTTGTAGATGCAAGAATGTTTGGTTTTCAAGGTTTTTCATCAATTTTATATCTAATCAACTTTGAATATTGTAACTATAGTCTTTCACACCAAATTTCTCGTTGTGAATGTCTTGATGCCAAGACAGCCTCTCCCTTCCATTCATAAAGCCACAGCGGACGTTCCCTCACAGGTAGTCCTAGAGAAATCAACGTTATTGGTTTTCAAAGCATGAGCAGATGATCTCATAAATTATCTAACATAGTACCTGGGAAGCTGCGACCCCTCAAAATGGGTTTGTGGAAGGAAAGAAGGAATTATACAAATAAATGAATGCAAACTTGATATCACAGAACACTAATGTAGCAGTTGTAGGAGCTAAGTAAGCTTGGATACAAAAGTGAAGCCTACTCACAGTTGGTTTTCAAAGCCAGTCCAAAGGTCTTAGCAAAGAGAGTTTAAGGTAGGGGCAGAAGAACGTGCTATAAAAAGGATTTTCTTTGTTTTTTGGTAGGATAGTCTATTAGTCCCTTCTCACACTGCTATAAAGAAGTACCTGAGACTGGGTAGTTTATAAAGAAAAGAGGTTTAATTGGCTCATGGCTCTGCAGGCTGTTCAGGAAGCATGGTTGGGGAGGTCTCAGGAAACTTACAATCATGGCAGAAGGCAAAGGGGAAGCAAGCACGTATTCACATGCCCAGGAAAGAGAGAGCGCAGCAGGAGGTGCCACACACTTTTAAACAACAAGATCTTATGAGAACTCACTCACCATCATGAGAACAGCAAGGGGAATATCCGTCCACATGATCCAATCACCTCCCAGCAGGTCCCTCTCCCAACTTTGCAGATTACAATTTGACATAAGATTTGGGTGGGGACACAGAGCCAAACCATATCAGGTGGTTTATAAGTAATCCAGGAACAAAAGAGCAAATACTGCATGATTCCAAGTATATGTGTGATATGGTTTGGCTGTGTCCCTACCCAAATCTCATCTTGAATTGTAGTTCTCATAATCCCCACATATTGTGGGAGGGACCTAGTGGGAGACAATTTAATCATGGGGAAGTTACCCTCATGCTGTTCTCATAATGAGTGAGTTCTCACAAGATCTGATGGTTTTATAAGGGGCTTTTCCCCCTTTTGTTTGGCACTCCTTGCTGCCACTATGTGAAGGAGGATGTGTTTGCTTCCCCTTTTGCCATGATTGTAAGTTTCTGAGGCCTCCCCAGCCATGCTGAACTGTGAGTCAATTAAACCTCTTTCCTTTATAAATTACCCAGTCTTGAGTATGTCTTCATTAGCAGTGTGATAACAGACTAATACTATGTGGAATTTAAAATAATCAAACTCATAGAAACAGAGAGTAGAATGGTGGTTATCAGGGGCTGGACCCTGGAGAGAATAGGGAGCTATTTGCCAAAGGGTACAAAGTTTTGGTTATGCAGGATGAGTAAGTTCTGAAGACCTAATGCACAGCGTAGAGACCATTTGAACCAATACTGTACTGTATACTTGAAAGTCACTAAGAGGATAGACTGTAAGTGTCTCACTACTAAAGAAGAAAGAGGAAGAGGAAGAAGTAGAGGAGGGGAAGAAAATGTCAGATGATGGATCTGTTAATTAGCTTGATTGTGGTGATTGTTTCACAATGTATGCATATATCAAAACATCAAGTAGAACACTTTAAATATATACAATTTTTATTTGTCAACTATATCTCAATAAAACCGAAAGATACAAAAATATAAGCTGGAAGCAAACCCCTCACCTATAGAACTAGAATTTGGATTTTAACAAGTTGCTCTAGGGACTTACTTGAATATTAATAGATAACTAGGGCAGATTTAAAATAAACATCCTTCATTTTTTCTTCTTCTCATTTTTAACCCATGTCCAGGTGCTCAACACATACTAGTGGGACATGCTTCTATTAGTCTGTTCTCATGCTGCTGATAAAGACATACCTGAGACTGAGACTGAGTAATTTACAAAGGAAAAGAGTTTTAATGGACTCACAGTTCCACATGGCTGGGGAGGCCTCACAATCATGGCAGAAGGTGAAAGGCATGTCTTTACATGGTGGCAGGCAAGAGAAAATGAGAGCCAAGTGAAAGGCGTTTCCCCTTATAAAACCAGCAGATCTTGTGAGATTAATTCTGTACCATGAGAATAGTATGGAGGAAACTGCCCCCGTGATTCAATTGTCTCCCACAGGGTCCCTCCCACAGCATGTGGGAATTATGGGAGCTATAATTCAAGATGAGATTTGGATGGGGACACAGCCCAACCTTATCAGTCTTTAACAGAACCGGTCACCTCATGTTCTTACAAATCATGCCGTCTTATGGAAGGTGATAAAACGTTTTTCTTGCAGATTGTATGCTGAAAAATTGCTTGAATATTTTAATAAATCTTTGATATAGTCTATAAGGGAACAAATTAAGAATAATTGAGCTTATTGAAAAAAATAGATTGAGATACTACATTTTAAGCAGTGATACTTTTAGCCTGCCTTTGGTATTAATATTTCACCTTTGTTAATAGATGTATTCCATAACTAGGAAGATGTTTCTGTTTTCATCAGAATTGACAGAATTGTTTTCACTTATTATTTTCTGATTTCATGTAGCATACTAGCTCATGCTTCTGCCTGGATTGTAAACACTTTGTATTTGTGTTGATTTCTAAACTACAGAGTGTTTTCAGCTTGGATGTCTGAAGAGATTTTAAGGTCAATCCCTTAAACATAACCTTTCTACATCACCTCTACCAAGGCCAGCATCTGTATTTCTGCTTCTGTCCTCAGTGCATCACATACCAAAGAAGTCTACTTAATGTATGAGCTTTAGAAAATATAGATTTTATAAAAATAGGATTTCCACAAGCGTCTTTTGTTTACAGAGGAGAAAGCCATTATGGCTTTTGGATTGTACACAGAGACAATATGTAAGCCTGTAAGAGATTTTCTTGCAGGAATTTTCTGCATTATTCAAAAGTCCTTTCCTCTGTGGCTGAGTTTTGTCTCTTTGTATTGTAATTATGCCATATTCCCACAGACTTGTCTACCTTCTCTGTAATGTGCATTAATCACGTTATGGACATTCTTGACTCAGTCCCTTGCAGGAAAAATGTGTTAGATAGTAATCAGGAAAACAAAAAAGAAGTAGAAGGAATAATACACTTGTTTCTTCTAGGTTTTAATACAAATTTATAATTTTCTCCCCAAAGTACAATACGCCATGCAAATATTTTACTAGATTAATTTCCATGCATGGTGTACATTGTTATTGTAAATGATTTTCACTTTTTTATTAAAAAAAAACAACATTCTATATCTTTCTTCTGTCCAGTGGGAAAGTATTTGGGTTTCTTTTTTGTGTGATCGTAAGGTCTTATATCAAGTGATGCCTAAACTATTAATTTTACAATGTATCTGTTTATTTTTATCATTTGTACTTCAGTTTATCTACGAAAATTATTTTCATGTTTTCCTCTTCACAACTTCGATGTTTTATCCTAAGCTGACTAGGATCTTACATGCAATATTGAACATGTACAAGATAATATATGTGCTTGCTTTCTTCTTGATTTTGAAGGAAGAGGTTGCATGTTCCATCATCAAGTATAAACATAAGGTGAGGGTTTTTTTCTTCTAAAGTCCTAATTATTTTTCTTATTTTAAAATATAGAAATAGCATCCAATTTTTATCAAGGAGTATTGCATTTTTTGAGATGAGCATTTTGGTTTTGCTTACTGTGTTAATATTAGAAAACATTCATTCATCATTTGGATATATCCATTTTAATCATCAAAATATGCAACACATATACAGATGTCATACATTATCAGGTATACAACTATTTTTAAATTATACAATTTTAAAATAGTACAATTTAAAAATAGTTGTGTACTTGATTATCAGAGTTAAGAACACTTTTCATTAGAAGGACCAAGTAGTCAAAGTGAATAGACGTTTTTTGGCCCTCCCACCTCACCCCTAACATACACACATATTTTATGTCAGAGTTCTCAACAAAAATAAATAACAAAATAAGAAATTCTAATGAATACATATATTTGAGGCTTATTTTTCACAATACTTTTTTCAGTGCTGTTATAATAACAAAATATAAACTGCATGGCTTTGTTCTTTAACATGTTCAAGTTTAGGTGTATATTGAATTATGAAATAACATAATTATAGCAAATTGAATCACAGAAAAATTATTGAGAGTTCACAAACATCCTTAGACAGTAATATAATGTGAATTATACAATAATTCATTTCAGGTTTTGAATAAAATTGCATTATTAAATTAGATGACAAGCAAACATATCTCCTTTTATAATAGAAATCTGTGAAAACAAAATATATATAGTACTCTTCACAAAATGTTGAATGTTACACGATAAAATTGCAAGGAAGCCAGGTCTCAAAATACTTCCTTTTTGAAATCTAATAGAAAATTAAATAAATAAGAAAATGATATTTTGAAAACACACTGGCTGGGAAACTATTTGCAAACCTCATACCTGACAAAAAACTAGTACCTAGTGCATATAAAGAATTCTTTAAACTCAGTGGTAGAATGAGCCACACAATCCAGTTAGAAGATGGATAAGCAGGCTTGGCATGGTGGCTCACGCCTGTAATCCCAGCACTTTGGGAGGCTGAGGCGGCTGGTTCACCCGAGGTAAGGAGTTCAAGACCAGCCTGGCCAAGGTGGTGAAACCCCATCTCTACTAAAAATACAAAAAATTAGCCGGGTATAGTGGCAGGTGCCTGTAATCCCAGCTATTCAGGAGGCTGAGACAGGAGAATCGCTTGAACCTGGGAGGCAGAGGTTTCAGTGAGCCAAGATCGCGCCATTGCACTCCAGCCCAGGCAACAAGAGCAAAACTCCAACTCAAAAAAAAAAAAAAAAAAAGAAAGAAAAAAGAAAATGGATAAGCAAAAATTGGAATTTTCACCGAAGAGGTTTTACAGATGGCAAATAAACAGATGAAAACACGTTTAATGTTATCAGGTACTACAGAAATGCAAGTTAAAATTACAGTGAAATATCACTACACACTTATGAGACTGACCAAAAAAAAAAAAATTGTGACAACATTAAATGCTGAATGCTGGCAAAAATGTGGAAACTCAATCACCCATATATTTCTATAGGAATGCAAAGTGAAACAGCCACTCTAGAACACAGTTGAGCAATTTCTGCAAATAAATACATAAGCAACCACTATTGAACCCAGCACTTTTGGACATTGATTCCAGAAAAAGTGGAAACTTATATCCACACAAAATCCCATACATAAATATTCCTAGCAGCTTTATTCATATAGTACCAAACTGAAAACTGCCAACTTGTCCTTCAGCAAATGAATTGTTAAGCAAATAATGGTGTATCCATACCATAAGATATCAGTTGGCAATTAAAAAGAAACAAACTATTGATATATGCGTCAGCTTGGATGAATCTCAAGGGAATTCTACTAAAAGAATAAAGCCAATCCCAAAAAGTTATATATTGCTTGTTCCCAGTTATACTACATTTTTGAAATAAAAACGAAGTTTTATCAATTAGGAACCGATGAGTGGTGGCTTGGGATAATGGAGAGGTTGAGAAAGGAAGGAAAGTACCAGTGGCTATGAAACGTTAAAAGCAGGGATTTTTGTCATGGTCAATATCTGACTGTATCCACGGTCTGTATCTTGGAGGTGATACTGTATTATAAATATGAAGATGCTATAACTGAAGGAAACTTGGTAAAAATGTAATTAGATCTCTGTCTATTATCTCCTACATCACATGAGCATCTACAATTATCTCAGAATAAAAAAGAAACTTTAATTAAAAATTGAACACATGAGCAAACGAACAACATATAGCCACGCAACTGGCCATCTTCAGATAAGGAAACAAAACTTCAGAGCAACCTACATGAGAGACAGCCATCCACAAAAATACGGAAGGGTTTCCTAAATGGACAAGCAGAGTCCTTTTCTTCCTCTTTGGGATCCATGAAGGAGGAGCCATGAAGGAGGAGCAGAAGGGACCAAACCCTCAAAAGATGTCATTAATGCCTTCAATTTGGTGAAAGAAAATTAGCCTTGGAATTATAGTAGCCTTGGATGCCAGAAGGATTTTCCTTTAGAGAAAATTCTCTGTTATAAATAAGACTAGGGTTTCTAATGAGTCTCTGAAATAATTTCTATGTTAAACTATACATTCTTTCTCTCTTAATCAGTCATCATAATGAATATCACTACACATATTACTCATGATTACCTACTTAATAGTTTACTTGGGCTGCCATAACAGAGGATCACAGGCTAGGTAGCTTAAACAACAGATGTTATTCTCTCACAATCCTGGAGGCTGGAAGTCCAAGATCAAGGTGTCCACAGAGCTGGTTCCTACTGCGGACTCTTTCCTTGGTTTGTAGATGTCATCTTTTCCCTGCGTCCTCATGTGGTTATCCCTTTGAGTGTGTCTGTGTCCGGATCTCCTCATCTCATAAGGACCCTAGTCCTATTGGATTAGGCCCATCAAAATGACTTCATTTTACCTCAATTATCTCATAAAGACCCCGTTACCAAATACAGTCACATTCTGAGATAATGGAAGTTAGGACTTCAAGATATAAATTTGGGGTAAAATGAAATCCAACTCATAACATTCCCTAATGTCTTTCATGACTGATATTCTTTTCTTTCTTTCTTTCTTTTTTCTTTCTTTCTTTCTTTCTTTCTTTCTTCTTTTTTTTTATGTTACATTTAAGGCAGGGGCTTTCTTAGACTTCAAAGAAAACATTGCCACAGTCATTTCCCAAAGACACAAACGAACAAACAAACAAAAGGGACTGTGTTGAACATAAGGTGTTAGTTTTATCATGGCTATACATATGACACAAAAATATGAGAATTTTGAAGTTAATAATATATTTCAACATAAATGTGAATTATTACTTACTCTATGTTTTCCGCTATTTATTGCCAGACAGCTGGAAGTTTGTGTTCCAAAAACTAGTGTGGGAGCTAAGATCATAATGAATGAGGAAAAGCTGAAAGACTTTTCTGTAAGAACTGGAGCAGGACAAGAATTCCCACTTTCATCACTCATATTTAACGTAGTCCTGGAAGTCCTAACCAGAACAATCAAGCAAGAGAAAGAAAGAAAGGGGATTCAAATTGAGAAAAGAAAAGTCAAATTGCCCCTCTTTAAATGATATAATGTTATATGATTAAAAAAAAAAATAAAAATTCCACAGAAAAAAACCCAGCTCTTGAAACTGATAGGCTGGGCACAAAACCCCATCTCTACTAAAAATACAAAAGTTAGCCAGGCATGGTGGCGGGCGCCTCTAATGCCAGCTACTCGAGAGGCTACAGCAGGAGAATCGCTTGATCCCGGGAGATGAAGGTTGCAGTGAGCCGAGATAGTGCCGCTGCACTCTAGCCTGGGTGACAGAGTGAGACTCCGTCTCAAAAAACAACGAAACAAACCAAAAAACTGATAAATTCAGTAAGATGCAGGATAGAAATCCAACATCCAACATACAAAAATTAGTAGTGTTTCTATATACAAATAACAAATGAGCTAAAAAAGAAATCAGAAATCACTTCCAATAGCTACAAAATAAAATAACTAGAAATTAACTTAATCAAAAAGTGAAAGATCTCTACGATGAAAATTAGAAAACACCTATGAAAGAAATTTCAAAGGACACACAAACGGGAAAGTCATCCCATGCTAATTCATTGGAAGATTTAACACTGTTAAAATGACCATATTACACAATGCAAACACAGATTCAATGTGATCCCTATCAAAATACAAATGATATTCTGCAAAGAAATAAAAAAAATGGACAGCCCTAAAATGTTTATGGAACCAGAAAATATTCTGAATAGCCAAAGAAATACTGAGCAAAATGAACAAAGCTGGAGACATCACACTACCTGACTTCAAAATGTACTACAAAGCTATAGCAACCAAAACAGCACAGTATTGGTATATACACAGACACGTAGACCAATGGAACAGAAAACAGAAGGCAGAGATAAATTCACATACTTACAGCCAACTACTTTTTGACAAAGGCACCAAGAACATACATTGGGGAAAGGACACTCTTTTCAATAAATCGTGTCGGGAAAACTGGACATCCCTATGCAGAAGAATAAAATTAGGCCACTATCTCTCATCATACACTAAACCAATTCAAAATGTCTGAAAGATTTAAACATAAGACCTGAAAATATAAAACTCCTGGAGGAAAATGCAGGGGAAATACTTCAAGACATTGATCCAAGCAAAAGTTTTATGGGTATGACTTCAAAAACAAGGGCAATAAAAACAAAATAGACAAATAAGAATATATCAAACAAAAAGGCTGCTGCATAGCAAAGGAATCATCAACAAAGTAAAGAAAGAAACAGTAGAATGGGGGAAAAAATTTGCAAACTATTTATTCCACAAGGAACTAATATCTGTAATGCACAAGGAATTCAAACAACTTCACAGCAAAAACTAATAATTTGATTTAAAAATGGGCAAAGAATTGGAACAGACTTTTCTCAAAAAAAAAACATACAAATATTCGACAAATATATGAAAAAAATGCTTAACATCACTTATCAGGGAAATGCAAACAAAACCACAATTAGATATGATATACTCCCAGTTAGAATGGCTGTTATCAAAAAGACAAAAAGTAACAAATGCTAAGTAGGATGAGGGGAAAAAGAGACTTTTTAGCACTGTTGGCAGAAATGTAAATTATTACAATGGAAAATAATATGAAGTTTTCTCAAAATACTAAAAATAGAGCTACCATATGATCCAGCAGTCCCACTACCTGGTATCCAAAGGAAAGGAATGCAATATGTCAGAAAGACCTTTGTACCCCCATGTTTATTGCAGCACTATTCACAACAGCCAAGATATGGAATCAACTTAAATGCCCAATAACAGATGAATAGGTAAAGAAAATGTCATATAGATACACAATAAAATATTCTTCAGCCACAAAGAATAAAATCCTGCCATTCACAGCAACATGGATGAGCCTGGAGGATATTATGCTAAGTGAAATAAGCCAGGCACAGAAAGATAAATATCACATGTTCACATTCATCTATAGAATCTGAAAAAAGAAATGCCTCATGTTAGTAGAGAGTAGAATTGTGGATATTAGTGGCTGGAAAGGGTAGGAGTGAGGAAGGATGGGGAGAGGTTGGTTAATGGATACAAAATTATAGCAAGATAGGAATATGTTCTAATGCTTGATAGCGCAGTAGAGTGAATATAGTTAAAATAATGTATTGTATATTTTCAAAAATTTAGAAGAGAGGATTTTGAATGTTCCTAACACAAAGAAATGATAAATATTTGAGGTATTGGATATGCTAATTGCCTTGATTTGATCCTGACACATTGTATTCATGTATTGAACTATCACTCAGTATCCCATAAATTGTGTAATTATTACATGTCAACTTAAAGCAAAAGGAAAAAAAAAAAAAACCTTGTTGTTACTAAAGGCACTGAATAGGCATTTACTACAATTTATTTCATGTATGTATTCTTGGGGAATTGCGGTAGATAGAAGAATTTTTAACGTTGGAATTTTTCATCTCTTTCTCTAGAAAATCAAATGCAAAGATGATATTCTGGTCAGGTGGAGGGTTTTGGTTTGTTTGTTTAACATTTATATTATTGCCTTTTGGACTTGGTTCCACTTAATGCTGCTCAACTAAATTGCTGTTTATGGGGAAAGCATGACTCTGAATATTAATGAAAGAACTTCATCTTTAAGAAAGAAAGTATCTAGTTGAACCAGGAAGATGCACAAGAAAACATGACCTCTGGATAAAATGCTTGATTATTAAGTTGAAGAAATAGATTTATCAGTTATCTATTTTCAGGAATACCGTAACAGTCAGTTTGAAATGTTGATACAAGTGTAATAAAATTGGACATATGTGTCTTATTTAAACTTGTGAATGTTGTCAGAATAAAAGTGGGGTGATTTGTGTTAAAGATCCTGGGAAACGGAGCTGAGGCAGGCCATGAAGAGGGGGAAGGGTGACACACAATTCCCTAATAACAAGAACTATCATAAGACTGCAAAATCCACAAGCTTGCACGAAGACCCCTACAAACTTAAAGTACTTCTGCAAGGACATCTGCCCAGCAACTGCCTGTGCAACTCCAATTGACATTATACTTGTTATTGATCCTTATAGACAAAGATAATTATGTCAACAATTATGCATCCTCCTCAACTTTTCCTTCAAAAATCTTTGTCTTTCTTTACCTTCCTGAATATGCGCATACTTTACTGTGGTGTTCATATGCCCATTGCAATGTCCATTCCCAAATAAATATCGTTTTCTTGCAGTGAGTCGCTCTGTCTGCTATTTCTATTGACAAACTTTTACCTTACTATGATGCAAATATAAAAATACTATCGTTGTATTTTAGAATCATTTATTCTAAATTCCAAAGTGATGTAAAAACAGGCATATGATGCCAGGAAGGACAAGAACGCCCTCCTAACTTTACTTGGAATAGACACCCAAGATCTATTCTTCAGCAATTGTGTGTATGTATATATATATATATATATATATGTATATATATATATATATACACACACATATATACATATATATACATATATATGTGTGTGTGTATATATATACACATGTGTATATATATATATATATATATATATATATATATATATATATAAAATATCAGTGCTTATTAAGGACTTGGTGGTTATAGCCAGATACATAGGCTTTGATTTGTGTCTTTAAGGTACAAATTTTAGCTATTTTAGCATTTCAGGTGCCTTCAGCAGTGCTATGGGTTGAATTGTGCCACCCTCAAATTAACGGGTTGAAGCCTAATTGCCAACAGGATGGTATATAGCGATGGCACATTTGGGAGGTAATTTAGTTTAGGTAAATTCACGAGGGTAGAGTCCTCTTGATGGAATTCATGGCCTTATACGAAGAAGAGACACCAGAGCTATCATTCTCTTTTTCTCTGTGCCACATAAAGACACAGTGAGACGGTGGCTATCTGCCAGCCAGGAAGAGAGCCCTCACTAGAAATCAAATCTGCCAGCACCTTCATCCCAGACTTCCAGCCTGCAGAACTCTGATAAGGTACATTTCTGTGGTTCAGCCACACAATCCATAGTATTTTGTGATATCAGCCCCAGCAGACTAATACAATAGAGCCTCAAGACCCTGATTTGTGGTAAAGCTCAGGGGAGATTGTTTTGGTAGCAAGAAGGTTATCAGTCCATGATGTCAATATGGAAGAAACAAAGGGAAGAAACACTAATACATGACCAGATATTAATGCATGTATCCATAACTAGTTGCCTTTGCCTTGAATGATATCACCAGTTTTGTTTGGGACAAAACAAAAACAAAAAATGTTTCAATGCAAGACCACCTCTTCTTTGAACCTCTCTAGTGTCTCCAGGTCTTAGGTTCATGGGCTCTATATTCTATTGCATGTTGTTCACCCTTCTCCTAAGTATGAAATATAGATGATGCATATCAATTATGTATTTGTTCAACTACAAGAATTTGAAATATCTGACCACAATGATTACATTTTTCAATTACATTTTCCTGGCATCTACCACAATCTTTACACATAGCAGAATGGCAATGATATTTGTGAAATAAATGATAGAGTGAACAAAATATCAGGATACAACAAGGGATGCCAGCCCAGCGACCATGATAAAGAGAATAAAATATGTCCATAAAAATGGTAAATGATATTATTTAAAAGTATTATTATTTTAAAAAGAAGCATAAGGTAAAGCAAGCACAGGGGACAGTTTGAAATAATCTAAGTAAGAATGTGAATAAGAATGCATGTCCTGCTTTCAGTATTCCTCTCTTGCAAGTACACGCTCCATGCCTCATTTTGTAGCACGTTGGCTCCCTTCTGTATCAAAGATGGTAAAATTTACAACTGCCTAATTGTCCTTGAAATCATACCATCTTTTTCTCCTCAGAAAGAGGACATGAGTTTTCATAGAAAAAGCAAGTGTATGAGAAAAATCATATTAGATTTCTCATCAATTTAATTTACTTTCGAAAGTTATCTTTGCCTTTTAATTTCTAATTAGATTGCTTTTCCTCCACCACAGGCATTATGTAAATAAAATGTTTTCTTTTGCATTTGGCTTCAGGATTAATTGTGACTGGATACATTTCACATTTCATGGGCAAAGACACAAAGTACAATGACCACTGACAGCTTGAATCAATAGCTAATTACTAGCAGAGTATTAGAGACATTTAGCAAAGGCAAAATTCTTGAATGCTGCTTTCCAAGGAAATTCCGAGTTTAGTCTCAGTATCACCTTCAGCATTCATCTTGTCAGTCATTTACATTATACCATTTATAGAAAACTTCCCCCTGAAAATAAATTACCTATTTTCCTACTGGTCAGCAATTTGAAAATGACCACTTACCATGTTTTGCATTAGGATTTAATTTATCAACAGTACCCGGCAGTGGAATAATGAGTAAAAACATTGAAAAGGAGTTTAGTGACTGACTGATTATGAGAAAGGAGGGGAGGATAGAAAATGACTTTACACCTGGCCTTTGGTGTTACACTTTTGCCAAGAAGTCATCTTTTAAGATATGGTCATTTCCGTCTAGTCTTCAAAAATACGGCTGTGCTGGCCAGTGCAGTGTGTTATTTTCTGGCCACTTTAGATTAAACTTATCCCCTACCATTTTCCGTATGCTCTCAACACATGGGTCCATTCCGAAGCTCTTATGCCATGCTGATCCAATCTGACGTGATTATGAATCCCTCTGCCTAGATACAGCATATTCTATTATTTTATTGCCAAAAGAAATGCTTCTCCAGGAAACTCTAAGATCTTGGAATATTCCACTATTTGTATCTGGGAATGAGGGCAGAAAGAATTGATCTGCTTCAGAGGGCCAACAGCAAGACCCCTACCCAGTGAAATCAGCATTTCCGCTTCCTTTCCAGACTGTTCTAATTCACCTTTCCTCACGCAATCCTTGGAATCTTTACTCTGTGCACAGTGGAAAAGCATTCTTTTTAAAAAAAAAAAAAAAAGAAGTTTTAAGTTCAAGAGTACATGTGCAAGTTTGTTTATAGGTAAATTTATGTCATGGGGGTTTGTTGTACAGATTATTTCATCACCCAGGTACTAAGCCTAGTATTCATTAATTATTTTTCCTAATCCTCTCCCTCCTCCACCCTCCACCATCAAGTAGGCCTCAGTGTGTGTTGTTCCCCTCTATGTGTCCATGTGTTCTCATCATTTAGCTCCCACATATAAGTGAGAACATGCCGTATTTCGTTTTATGTTCCTGCATTAGTTTGCTAAGGATAATGGCCTCTAGCTCCATCCATGTCCCTGCAAAGGATATGATCTCATTATTTTTAACAGCTGCATAGTATTTCATGGTGTATATATACCACATTTTCTTTCTCCAGTCTATCACTGATGGACATTTAGGTTGGTTGTGTTTCTTTGCCATTGTGAATAGCGCTGCGGTGAATATGTGCCTATGTGTGTCTTTATGGTAGAATGATGTATACCATCTCACCCCAGTCAGCATTCATTTTATGACCTGTATTCTTTCAATTCATTCAGCTGTTCTGGGAGGCTGAAACTCAATAGCCATTAATTGACTTCTTTGTACTTTGTATTCTGTGGATTGCCCCTCCTTAAATTCTGAGAATATGCATGGACTTAGGGGACTGATTGGAGAAGGACAAATCACATCAGGAAATGCACCTGAAAAAATAAAAGAAGAAATCGCCATGGTCATTTCTTGAAAATTATATTTTGTCCCATCAGACTTTCTCTAAAAGGCACTTTGATGAATCCTACCTTCATTTGCATGGTTTTCAGAGCAGACAGATTCTTCTTTATTATCTTTCTTTTACTCTCCTTGAAGTCCATTTCAAGTCATATCATCTCCAAAAGGTTTATCTGAAGAATTTCATTGTTTTCTGAGTACTCCACATTTTGAATTAATCCAATTTTATAATCTGCACTCATTGTATCACCACTACTGTACGGACATCAACCTCATGTCATCCAAACAGACTTATGTGAACCCCTGCTCCTTGCCCCCCAACCCACATGGTTATTCCAGTAACTGCTTTGTTATTACAGCCTTAGAGTCCCTCTGGCCATTCCTGTTAGCCCCAGGATGGGCACTTAATTTGAGTTGCATTTTTCTGTCCCTTTGATCTGAGTCATGAGCTAATTGGTTTCTCCTCTTCTGTAAATTAGAAGCAGTTCTGGACATGATTTCTTTTCTTCAGCAGTGTGAGAGTGAGAGAAATAGAGTGTCCTTTCTTGGGTGCTCTCTCTTAGATCAAGTATTTTCAAGAGAGACCAGATATAGGGAAAGCCTTTTCCTAAATCTTTACATTCTCCCCAGCCTTCTGGTCAACTTTATTAATCAATATGTTTTAGAAATCCTTAAATCTTTGAATCACAATGGTAAGCACTATAGATCTTTATCGATCTACTTAGGTGTCAGTGGCATTTTTAAAATAGTATAAATAGGTCTTCTAATTACAATTCCTTGACTAACAATTTGAATTAGAAGTCTATCAAATAGTAGTTTGCAATAATTATCTGATGTGGACATTTCTTGGGCATATAAATCTGAGCCAATTGGATCTGTCATCTCTGACAGATGATTTTTCTCAAATTTGCTAAAATGCTAAAAATAATGTATGTCGTCTGTAATATCCTATTGTGAATGCACACATATGTAACTTAAAGATGTATATTCACATGAATGAGTTATTAGCAATGTGGTGAATATTAAGGAATCAATATTCTTAACCATGCCCTTCATGGTTAAAAATTAACTTGGTTACCAAGTTAACTCTAAAAATAAAATAATCTCTTTGGAAAGGATCATCCAAAAAATATTAATACTCTAGTCTATGTATATGCTAGTGTCTGAGTAAAAGGACAATGAATCACTAACATTTGAAATATAATCTCAGTATCTGTGATGTTGTAGTTGCAATCATTTTACAGAAATAAAAAGTTTAAATGTTTTTACTTACCTATAGTACAATTTATATTTTGTCTTCTTATATCCAGCAGTTTTAATTTTTAAAAATCTTCTCAAACATCAGTTTTCCAAACTTCTAATACAATATAAATCAGTTATAAATATTTCATAAAATAGATTTATATTTATATAGCATTTTGAATTTTGAAAAGAAACATAAATGTCAGCCATGAGTGAGAAATTCCTTAAGAATGCAGGGGATCTTAAATCAGTTTTTAAAAAGAATTCGAAGTCATATTTTGATACGAAATCAGCTCTTCTAGATAAAGAGAAACGACATTATGTCCAAAGAAAACATGGTCACGATAACGTAATTTTTTTCTTTTTGTCACTAAGGTTTGTTCAAAGCCTCATTTGATACACTAATTATTAAGTATACATTTTTTACTGCTGTTTAACAAATCACTACAAATCCAGGCCCTTAAAACAATACTCAGTCATTAGCTCACAATCCTGCAGGTCCGAAATTTGGACAATGCATATCAGGGTCCTCTGCCCAAGGTCTTACACAGCTGAAATTAAGGCATTGCCCCATCTTTTTCTTGAGTTCAGTGGTGGTGGCGGAATCTAGTTCCTACGGTTGTAGAACTGAGGTCTCCATTTCCTTTATGTCTTTTAACAAGGGGCGGGGCTCGTCTCCTTGGTGTCTGCTCCTTGTCAAATACAGATGTCCATTTTCAAAGCCAGCAGCAAAGACTCTCTCTCCTGTAAAATCTTTTTCATGCTTTGAATCTGTCTTTCGAGGAATAAAGCTGTACTTTTGAAAGTCTAACATGACTAGATCAAGCCCACTGAGGGTAATCTTTCTCTCTTAAGGTCAACTGTGCCTTGTAGCATAAACTAATCACTGGGCTAGTTATTTTGCTTTCATCATCTCATTGTCAGGCCCATCCTACACTGAAGGGGAGGGAATTATACAAAGATGTAGGGCACTGGGGATTGCCTTGCAGCTCTTTGTACCATAAGATACCAATTTTCCTGATCATATAGTATCAATCAATAAATCTAATGAGAATTAAACCTTGAGTTGAAATAGCACAGTCGTGGGGAAGACAGAGCAGTTAAAATAAGACCATACTCTCGAGAACACAAAGAGGTATGGTAAGTCCATGCTCTTTGCCTCAGTTGAAGGAGCCAGAATATGCATCCCAACTATAGGCAAGGCCACTGAGATGCATATTCTGGCTCCTTCAACTGAGGCAATAAGCATGGACTTAATATCATATTGCTTCCTTTAAACAAGCATCTGTGGATGAAGAAACTCAACGGTCAAATTTTCCTGCATGTGTTTTGCCATTTAGAATTCAGTGATGCTAGTTCATGCTTATGCAGACAGAGCACCCAGCCTTGAGAATACACTATTCAGATATTCTGGGTAGGTGATGAGACTAAGAGAAAGTTGGTGCAAGCACTTCATTCAACTTTATTTTTGCCCTTTCCTTTTAGAAAACACATGTCGTTTCCTTTTGTAAAACCACAGTATTCTGGATTTCAATTTGATTGCTCAATGTGGTATATTAAGAAAAGCACATTTGGAGACAATCTGAAAACATCAACAAAGAAAGGTGTTGGTGGGATTTACTATCTAATGTATTACCCAAAGTGTGACTTCGGGCCATGATAGCCAGGGCTCTGAGAAGCCACTGCATTCTATATCATGCCCCATCTAGCAGCATTTGGCAGAAGTGAAGTAAGTATTAACAAAAGAAGTCGCTTCACCATGGACAGGTAAGTTGCAGACATTACTAGTATTAAACAATTTCCCTTGGATATCTGGACACATGTGTTGGAATGAAACATGCTTATGCATATAGAATTTACCCAGCTTCTTTTTCCTTGTTTGTCTTTTAGTAACTCAAGTGCAATGAACTGGAATAATGACAGTTCACTAGCATCATTTGTTCATGTTTGCTTTTCTTTTATCCATTCATTCATCTGTCCATTTATTTACCTACCTCATAAAGACATCCATCCATCCATCCATCCATCCATCCATCCATCCATTAACCCACCCAAACATCCATTCATCTATACACGCATCCATAAGACCATCCACGCATCCGTGCATCAACTCATCCATCCATCTGCCAATCTATCCACTCATCTATTCATGCATCCATTAGCTCATCCACACATCCATTCATACACTCATCCATTCATCCATCCATCTGTGCATCCATCCATCCATCCATCCATCTGTCCATCCATCCATCCATCTATCATTCATCTATCCATCCATCCATCCATTAGCTCATCCACACATTCATCCATCTATCCATCTATGCATCCATTCATCCATCCTTCCATACATCCATCTTCCATCCATTCATCCATCCATCCATCTATCCATTCATCTGTCCATCCATTAGCCCATCCACATATTCATCTATCCATTTCCCCAATTATTTTTTCATTCATTTTAAAAAGCACTTATGAACTCATAAGCCAACCCAAGAATAAGAACATTAGCAATAAATTTGATCAGCCGATGTGCTATTTCCTTTAACTATCTGCCTACCTCTGCAATCGAGGTGATCAATATTTCAAATTTTAACTTAAAAAATCATTTTAAAAATAAACTGTTATAATATTATATAATGCCATATATACCATTGTTGGTATTACTTGGTGATATGGTTTAGATGTTGTGTCCCGTCCAAATCTCATGTTGAACTGTAATCCGCAGTGTTGGAGGAGAGGTTTGGTGGGAAGTGTATGGGTCTTAGAGGCGGATCCCTCATGGATGGCTTGGTGCCTCCTCGAGGTAATGAGTTCTTGCTCTGAATTCATGTGAGATCTGGTTGTTTAAAAGCGTCTGGCACCTCCCTCCTCTCTGTGTCTCCCCCTCTCAGCATGTGACATGCCTGCTCCCACTTCACCATCTGCCATGAGTAAAAGCTTTCTGAGGTCCTCTCCAGAAGCTGGGCAGATGCCAGTGTCACACTTCCTGTATAGCCTGCAGAACCATGAGCCAATTAAATCTCTTTTCTCTATAAATCACACAGTCTCAGATATCCCTTTATAGCAATGCAAAATGGTTTAATACACTTGGCATTGTTCGTGCTAAACATTTAAAACAATGGCATCATGGGTTAGAGAGGCTTCTGAGGCTTCTTTCTAAACTAGATAAGATGTTATTGAGCTCCATCCATGCGGCTATGTGTAGCTATAGTTGATTCACTTTTCTACTGTATCATATTAAATATTTTATTATTTCCATATCACTATATATGCAATTTAACAGGAATTTAATTATATTTCATTGTATGCAAAGTACAACAAATTCTTGCTACTGTGTGTGTAGTACTATTTTTACCAAATGTTTGAATCTCCACACGCTACCTGAGAAATCAGCTTTTTTCTCTGAGGGTAATGAAGATTTGATCTATCTAATACTGTTAGGATAGCTGCTGTTGA
This sequence comes from Homo sapiens, assembly GCF_000001405.40. NCBI lineage: Eukaryota > Metazoa > Chordata > Mammalia > Primates > Hominidae > Homo > Homo sapiens. The sequence goes on from NW_017363820.1 coordinate 72,064, forward strand.
GTTGTGGTGATTCATAGGAGGCTGAATCCAAAGAAGACCAATAAGCCAGTAAAATAACACCATTACAACAGGTTTAAAAAAATCCCTAAAGTCTGAAAATGCAGTGGTAATTCCAGGCAACATTATATTAACTGAAATCAAAAAAGTTCTTAAAGACAGTTATCCATGATTGATGATTCTCTATTTTATATTTGGTTAGTGTGGGGAGAAAATATACACATATTACAGAATCAAGTTTTTGTTCTTTATAATGTTAACAATAATTCCCCAAACATATTTTCCTTGTACTTAACAAAATTATTGACATTATGGACTTTCATTATGCCTCTTGGCACAATACAAATCACCATAATACTAAGAATGGATTTTTCCCTGAAAAATGTTTTCTTGTTATTTTTCTAGAAAAGAAAAATTTATACATGTTTCAGCTTAAAATATCAATGTCCAAATACATTAAATATTCTTCTAAAGAAAAACATGGTCTAATTTTCATGCTATGGTTAATTTTGAGATATAAATAGTCTGCAATGTATCCATCTACCCACCATCCATCCATCCATTCATCTATCCATCCATTAGCCAATCCACACATCCACACATCCATGCATCCATCGATCCATATATCCATCCATCCATTCATCTATCCATCCATCCATCTGTCTATCCATCCATCCATCCATTGATCCATCCATCCATTCATCTATCCATCCATCCATTAGCTCATCCACATATCTATCCATCTATCTATTAGCCCAGCCACACATCCATCCATCAATCCCCTGATCCATCCACCCATCCATTCATCTATCCATCCATCCATTAGCTTATCCATACATCCATAACCTCACTTCTTTTCTTTTTTTCCATTCACAATGATAACTCTATGGGAGATTGAATGATACAACCATTTACATACAAATAATATAATTTTCAAAACATGTTTAACAATCAAAAAACAAAGTTGGAAGAGGTCAAAGATCAAGCATTTGGATACCTCACCATCTTCTGAGCATAAGGAACATGGAACCTATTTTACAAGCCTAGAAATTCATCCACAGGTGCCACTCAGCAGTGCACCTTAGTAATGTAGTTCCAGATAGCATCACAGGAAACGACCTATCGATTTGAGGTCTCCTCCCCCACATTAAAGCGGAGATATTCTGCCTGTCTTCTTACTTCAGAGTGGGGGTATTTGGCAAAAACCAAGAAACACTGAGGACTCTTTTCAAAGAGACAAGGTTAACTTGAAAGAGACTAGGATGTTCTCTGTTTACAGGTATGGCGCTGTTCGTTCATAATGCCCATGTTAATAGAATTTCTGGAGTTAATATGTAAAGGTATAGAATCTGAAGGCCTCAGTGACAATTTTGGATCTCACATCCGTTGCCCTATTGTATTAGGGAAGTATTAGAGTATCAGTGTTTCACGTTCCTACACATTAAATTGTAAGAAGAAATTTTTCAAAATCTTAATGAGGTTGATGTGTAGAGTAAGCCATACAATCCATAAAAAATGCATATTGAGATCAGCCCAATATTCTCTGAATCTGTTCCGTTTGTGGTAATTGATGACATAAGCCAGTCATGTCGGAGAACTGGTAGCAAAAAGGGTAAAACATAAGAAGAAATTTGGGAAGTCAGGGGCCTAGGAAGACAAAACTGGGGTTCAGATACCAGCAAAAATAATGATCAGCCTTCCTCCTTGAAATAAAATTCCAGTTAGGACACAGGTAGGGTTATCCTATATGAGTAAAGCAAACCTAAAATGACTTAAAAACAACTTTGAAACAATTTAAGTTCAGACAGGATTAAGGTGATCTTCCCCTACTCTAGTTCCCCTACTCTAGTTGACTGACAGAAAAAAAAGTTCTACAGAGGAATTACTTCAGAATTTCATCCATAACTATATATCTATCCCTAATTTTATCTATCTATCTATCTATCTATCTATCTATCTATCCCTCTGAGAGGTGTCAGAGAACTAGGTGGGTAGATAGATATAAATCACACAAGTATACACCCACATATATATTTGTAATAAATATTAACATCAATATACTATGTAATATAGATACGATTTTTTCATACAGTGTGTGCAGAATTTATTTAGAAACTACCAAATGTACAAGAAAGCATGAACACGTGGTTGAAATATAAGATAAATAATAGTAAATAAAAATAGACCAATAGATAGTTAAGTTCTTAAAAGAGACTTTCAAATGTTTTTACTAATTTATTCCAGGAAATCCATGACACAGGAAGATTGCTTCTAGATCATCGGAATCTATAACAAGGATTCAATTCACAGTACTAGATGTGAAAAATACAACTACTGAAACTAGGAAGCAAAAGATAATTTAAGAAACAAGTTGATTTTATTAAAATTAAGGAGTCATGAATGGGAATGTGGGTAAAATATGAAGATAGGAGTATAGAGGGAATACATAGCTGCAACTAAAATAACATATATGAGGCTGGGCATGGTGGCTCACACCTGTAATTGCCACACTTTGGGAGGCAGAAGCAGGTGGATTGCTTGAGCCCAGGAGTTTGAGACCAGACTGGACAACATGGTGAAACCCCATCTCTACAAAAAATACAAAAATTAGCTGGGCATAGTTAGGCATAATTGTAGTCCCAGCTACTTGGGAGGCTGAAGTGGGAGATCCTTTGAGCTGGGGAGGTCGAGGCTCCAGTGAACTGTAGTTACACAACTGCACTCCAGCCTGGGTGACAGAGTGAGACCCTGTCTTAAAAAAAAAAAATATATATATATATATGTATATATGTTTATATATTATATATACTTACATATAATATCTATGTTTATATATTATATATTTATATATTACATATGTTTATATATTATATATTTATATACATGATGTGGTAAACATATTTGTTATACTTATGTCTTGTAGTTCAGGACAGAGAAATAGGTAGATGATAAATGAACATTAGAGAATATATTGACCAGAATTATCCAAATTGTGGGAAGACATCCAGAAATAGATTCAAGAAGTTATAAAAACCCAAAAATTAGATAAATACAACAAAACATTCATGCACATTGCGGTAGGCAGAATACTGCCTCCTACCAAAACAAAACAAAACAAAGCAAAACCAAAAATGTCCACATCTGATAGGGTTTGTCTGTGTCCCTACCCAAATCTCATCTTGAATTGTAGTTCCCCTAATCCCCATATGTTGTGGGAGGGACTCGATGGGAAGTGATTGGATCATGGGGGCAGTTTCCTGCATGTTGTTCTTGTGACAATGAGTGAGTGTCAAGAGATTTGATGGTTTTATAGGCGTCTGGCATTTCCCGTGCTTGCACTGTCTCTCCCCTGCTGCCCTGTGAAGAAGTACCTTCTTCCATGAATGTAAGTTTCCTGAGGCCTCCCCAGCCATGTGGAACTATGAGTCAATTAAACCTCTTTTCTTTATAAATTACCCAGTCTCGGGTATTTCTTCATAGCAGTGTGAGAACAGACTAACACACCATCTGAATTCCTGGAACCTGTGACTATGTTACCTAACATGGCAAAAGGGGATTTGCATATGCAAATAAGTTAAGGATCTTGAGATGAGGATATGATTCTGGATTATCTTGGTGGGCCCAATGTCATCTCAAGGGTCTTTGTGAGGAAGAGAGAGAGGCAGAGAGAATTACAGAGGCAGATATGATGTCACTAGGAGACCTCAGAGTGATGTCGGAAAGGGGGCCAAGAGCCAGAAGTACAGGCAGACAACAGAAGCTGCAAAAGATAAGGACATGAACACTTTCATGGAGTCTCCAGTATGAGACATCCCTGCCAACACCTTGACTGTGGCCCAGTGAGATGCATTTTGGACTTTTGATCTCCCAAACTGTAAGATAATATATTTGCATTGTGTTAAGCCACCAAATCTTTTGGTAGTTTGTTACAGCAGCAATAGGAAGCTAATACATACATCACGTAGGAACTGTTAAAGAAAATTCTTAAAATCTGCCCTGGGCGAGAACTCTTAGGAAAATACTAAGGTGTTTATATTCATTGAGAAATTAAAATTAAATTAATTGAGAATACTAACAGTAAAATATACTGTTTTGAATAGAAATGACTTGATTTAAAAAATGAAAATAAAAACACAATAGAGAAAAGCATGAATTACTGATAAAAGAAATGGGCAACAACAACAACAAAAGATGCATTACAACAAATTCCACAGGCATTAAGAAATGAATAAGAGCAAGTATTCATAATAGCTACAAAATTGAAGTATTGTGAATGTCTAGTAACAATAAGCTAGAAATACATGTTGAGGTATATTCATCCAATCAGCTGCTATTCCCAAGTATAGATTGTGCAGCTTTCTTAAAACCAAAGGGATTAGCCGGGTGCAGTGGCTCATGCCTGTAATCCCAACACTTTAGGAGGTTGAGGCAGGCAGGTCATTTGAGGTCAGGAGTTTGAGATCAGCCTGGCCAACATAGCAAAACCCCATCTCTACTAAAAATACAGAAATTAGCTGCTGGTGGTGGTGCATGCCTGTAATCCCAGCTACTCAGGAGGCTGTGATGTAGGAGAATCTCTTGAACCTGGGAGGCGGAGGTGGCAGCGAGCTGAGATCGCACCACGACACTCCGGCCTGGGCGACAGAGCAAGACTCTGTCTCAAAAATAAATTAAAAAAAAAGAGAGATGTATCACATAAGACCAACATTTAGCAAATGAAGCCAGAGACAATGTTGCTTAACTACAATTCCTTTCATATGAAGTTCTAGATAAGCAAAACCAACTACGATCTTAGAAATCAGGATAATGACCACCTCGGCAGAGGGGTGGTATAGGAGTGGCAGCACATGAAACAGGGTCATGAGGATGGTAATCTTTATTTGGCTGGTGGGTGTATAGATTTTATGAAAGTTCACTGATCTACGCAATTCTAATACCTAGGTTTTCATTTTGTTGACTTTAAATAAAGAATTGCTCAAATTTAAAAACAGCGAGGCAGGTCTATATGTATTGAAGAGAATTTATTTCAAAATTTATTATTAACTAAAAGGTGAGTTTCACATAGGTAGCTATGTTAGATAGATAGATATAGATAGATAGATAAAAGGATTGGCAGATGGGTGGATAGATGGCTCATAGATGGATGGGTGGGTGGATAATAGATAACTAGATGGATAGATGGTTAAACAGACAGTTGAATGAATAGATAGATAAATGGATGGGTTCTAGATAGATAAATGAATAAATGGATAGGTGATGGAAATAGGCAGCTAGTTAGCTAGATGATAGATAAATATTATAGACAGACTGATAAAATATTATAGACAGACTGATAAAAACATGTGTATGTGCATACCCCATGCATTATGTTTTATATGTAGCATGTAACATGTAATCTCTAGAAAACTTTTCCAAAAATGTACAATATTGTTGCTAAAGTCTAGATTTAGTTTTTTGGTACTTTTGAATGTTGTACCTTTGATTGCATTTAAGAATTCATATTCAAATAGCATGAATGAGTGAAATACAAAATAACAATCCCAGGATTCGAATAGTGGCATTTACTTGCTGAGTCCTGTTGGGGCTCGGGACGTATCACCCCAGAATATGATTACAGGAGACCAAAATATACCTATTTGGCATATTGACTATTTGGAGCTGATTGCTTTGAGAGACTGCAGATACAGGAGTAGCTCTCAAAAGTTGCTGTTTTGTAAAGCAAATTACATTTACAAAACAAATTTTCAGGGATAAAGATATCTGATCCAGGAATAGTGTTGCTCCGAGAAGACATTGATCTCCTGAGATAATTTTATCTGCATAACAAGCCAACCTTTACTCACCACACAGCTCCTCCCTCACCCTCCAGTAACTTGTCTCCATCACCTGCCAGAAGTCACAGGCCCCTATTTCTTTCTGTAGCCCAGGATGCTATGTAAACTTCATAGGTCTGGTTGATTCTTGAGTTTCGTGTTTTTGTGGAACTCCTGTGCATAGGAACATAATTAAAGTTGTTTGTCTCCTGTTAATCTGTCTTATTTTAACTTAAAGTGTAAACCAGCCAAAGAACATAGAAGGGTATAGGAGAAAGCAAAGTTTTTTTTCTCCTCCGCAGTTATGCTTAGGAATGTCATCGTTTTATTTATAAATATATATATTTCTTGTGTGTTGTTTGTTTTGAGACAGGGTCTCACTTTGATACCCAGGATGCAGTGCAGTGGCACAATCTGGCGCTCACTGCAGCCTCAACCTCCTGGGCTCGAGTGATCCTCTTGCCTCAGCCTCTCAAATAGCTGGGACCACAGGTGGGTGCCACTGCCCCGAACTAATTTTTTGTTTATTTTCTGTTGAGATGAGGTCTCACTGTACTGCCCAGGCTGGTCTCAAAGTCCTGAGCTCAACCAGTCCTCCTGCCTCAGCCTCCCAAAGTGCTTGCATTACAGGTGTGAGCCACCACACACAGCCTTCACCATTTTCAACCCAGTGCTTATTGTTCAGAGGAATAGTAATAGGAACTGTGTTACAGAATTGTGAGAATTAAGAAGGGAGAAAGCGAATGCACTCCTGATGTGGTTAGCACAGCACCTGACCCACGTTACACACTCTATAATGTCATCATTATTGGCTACACCATTACGCCACTGATTACACATGAAAATAGAGTGATTAATTTACATCACAATATAATAATTTAACAAGACAACAAGCTGCACTTTGTTTTAATTTGGCTGTTTATTCCATTTATTGCTATATCTACACATAATTATGTGTTATTTTCTGTCCAGTCACACATAATCATTCTACAGAACCTGGCTCTGCCTAATCCTAAATACTGTTTCTAAGGATTGAGAATAGTATCATGGGGACACCCCTCTGGTTAGGGACAGGCATATGCTATAATTCCTCAATTTAGGTAAAATGTGTATAGAAATGATACTGACTTTGGAAGGAAAACACCTGGATTCTCTCTCTGTCTGCCATGCTAACTAATTTCTTACTATCAGATGCATCTAGAATACTTGCATGCAATGTGCACTTTGGTTGCCTAGCCTCCCTTTCATTTTGGCTTTTTATTGTATAATATTTTAATTATAATTTTAAAATTATAATTTTGTAAATATGAAAATATTTGGTTATAGACACTTGATTATAAATTTAAATAATAATTTTGGAAATACTAAAAATATTGATTGGAAAATAATATCAGAACATTAACACACAGATATCCTAAAGTCATCATTCAGTTTTACCATCAGAAAATACCAATTGTTTGGACAGTGAGTGGGCTGGCATGACATGACTTTAGTGGTCTGTGCTTTCCTGAATTATAAAGTTTATTTATTTTTTAACTAGCGTAGTATTATCACTGAGGTCCCTCTTTTTAATCAGCGCTGTGCCCATTTCTCTTCTTTCTAACATCTATTTTATTTATATTGACTATTTACATATAATGCTCCTCTAGATAGCAAAAATCTATTGGGAATTGGAAAAGGTAATTTCCTTGGAGCTAATAGCTATTCATGCTGATTTTCACTTGCCAATTTCTTCACTATGAATATTGACTCAGCCAGAAAAGCATACTGGCTTAAAAGATGCAAAGTTAACTGCCTGCCTTATATTTAGTCAACTGTTTGGCAGGTAAACTTCTATTTTCAATAATCTTCTCATCTTTCTGAGAACTAAGCAGAAAGGAAGTCAAATTTCACATTAAATAGAAAAGCTCCAACCAACTGCACAAGGAGTTATGGGTGGTCAAAAAAAGCCTTATGCAAGAATAATTTAGATACATCTTATAATAGGTGAAAATTTTGACAGGGAAACTAAATGAAGCAAGGATAAATTATAGGGCTTCATCCAGAATATTTTAATATCTCTACTTCAATATGTGCATCCACTATATCGTCATGTCTCTTCTGTGAAGAACAAATTTTACTATTGTCTTTTTTAGAGCCCCAGTTGAAAGGAATTTGGATAAATTTTGATACTTCTGAGCACGAAAATAGATATAAGTTTAATAGATCTGTATATATGTGCTTAATAATTCAGTATTTCAAAAAATAAAAGTTTTTCATGATTGGCCTTAATTGAAGTTTTTTTCATGTTCTTCAAATTTGATATATAATTCACGAAGTTATACTTAATAATCTCTTCATCTGTTAATAACCACTTTGTATGCTAATCAGGAAATGTTTACCTTTCAAAAAATATTTTATGGAATGAAGGAACTATTTACAAGCTAAATGGATATGTTTTGATAAACCAATTCTTAGTAACATTTCTATGCACTAAAGTGAGAAAAAAACAGTATGCTGATGTGCTATTAACTACAAATAAATGAAAGAACTACTGATATGTCAATTTCATGTTTAAGCAGGTACTGTAACGTTTGAGAGACGGGTAGGCTTGGGGTCTTCTTCGTTTTTACATTTCTTTCTTTCTTTCTTTCTTTCTTTTTGAGATGGAGTTTTGCTCTTGTTGCCCAGGCTGGAGTGCAATGGTGCGATCTCAGCTCACTGCAACCTCCCCTTCCCAGGTTCAAGCGATTCTCCTGCCTCAGCCTCCCAAGTAGCTGGGATTACAGGTGGCTGCCACCACACCCCTTTTTTACAGTTCTTGGAACAAAAGGAAAAGCAAAGTGGACTGCACTGTCTCACACGCATTGAAAAATTACATTTACTTAGGGATTGGGTCTGACCATGCATGTTTTATATGTACGAAATACATTAAATCAAATAGTGAGCTCTTATTAAAAATGACCTTTAAACACTGTATGGCTGTATCATCATCATGAACAGCATCAGCATCATCATCATCATCGCCATTATAATCATCAATACTACCACACCATCATCATCATCATCACCGTCACCATCATCACATCACCATCATAACCACCATCATCACCACTGCCATCATGATCATCACCATCACCGTCACTACCATCATGATCATCATCACAAACACCATCATCACCATCATCACCATCATGATCATCATCACAAACACCATCATCACCATCATTACCATCATGATTACCATCATCACCATCATTATTATCATTATCATCACATTGTCGCCTTCATCGTCATCATAACCACCACCACCATCATCACAAATGCCAGAGTCACCATCATTACCACCTGTAATGTCGTTACCGTCATTAGAATCACCAGAACCACCATTATTAACTTTATAGTAAATTCTTATAGCAATCTCTAAATATATTGTTTATTGATTGAATTTTTCACCTTATCACGGCATTAACCGTATTGTTCTTCTTTACGTCTCTATGCCTACTTCCAATGCTGTGCCTGATCTAGGGGGAGTATCAGTTCAAAATACATATAGATGTCCATATTGACTGATATGCAGTTTGTGGTGAAAAAAAATGAGTAATGTAGATTATTATAAAGATACACAAATTTTGTAATGCATCTATTAGACACATGTTCTTCTAGCTTGCATTAATTTTGCATCATAACTGGCTACTCTGCCAGGTGCTGATGAGGCAACCCTTTTCAGTCACGCAACATATCTAGGTTATTCATTTTTATGAATTTGTGAGCATTAATAATCTCTTGCATTGAAGCTAGTTCTCTAATAGGTCCTGTAGAGTCTCAAAGGTTCTTGGTGAGAACAATTTATAGGTGAGGATGAGCTCATTCACTCATTTATAATGGAGCAATAGCTGTTCTGTAGGAGAGGTCTTTGGATTCTAGAGTGAGACTAAAACAAATACCCCTAGGTAAAAATGAAAGGTAATAATCATGTATTTATTGACTTAATCCCTTGGGAAATATATATATATTTTCTTCCAACCAGACACTGAGATGGGCTTTTCATGTTTCAGTGTTAGTTAAATGTCAACCTGAAATTCCAGGAGCTCTCATCCTGGATAGGTAGCAGACAAGTACTAAGACGCTCAAAACACGCCAGACAGGGACTATAAGCAGAGTGAGCAAATGATGCTCTAAGGGAATCTGGAATCTTATCTAACTTGGGATGAGTAGGAGATGCTCCCTAGAGAGTAACAGCTCAGTCTCTCCATAACTTATTCATGACATTATTTTAGATGAGGAAGTTGAAAAGGGTATACACTTACAGGGAGTGGGAAGAGACCTTGCAAATCCATCCACAGAGCTGGGGTATAAACGCTAAAGTATAGTTGCACGAATATGTGTGGAAATTCACAGGGACATGGACTCGAGAGTTGGGATTAATCACAAAAATGATTGACCTCAAAGTTATTCTCAGATCAAACAGAGCACGATTTTCTGATACTGTTATTGAGCAACCACAAACTTTGTTTCCAGCAAACTTTTGTTTTTCTTATTGAGTAATTAATTGCATTAAGCACCTCTTCGGCCCTAATTTTATTCCTGAACTTCTGTTTCACCCTTTCTCTCTGCTGATTAAATAAAATAACAACAATTCTGATAACACTAGAAGTTTGGTGATGTACTTTAAGTTTGTGTCAAATTTATTCCAATTTTAGTTGCTGGACTAAAGCATCATGTAACTTATCTTATCCTTCACTTGTTCTTGACTTTTTGATAGACTCCCTAGGGCTTTGCAGTGCTATTTTCATTTCATTTTCACAATGAAATAAATATACTACTGCAGCAGGGCATTGGCTGCCACTTAAAACAAGAGGCATGCATTATTAATGCCTTGTACAAAGACAATAAATTTTATATTACTCAACACAGAATAGAGAAGGAGACCTGCCAATATAGCTTTACCCCCAAGAATATGGGATAATAGAATTAAGAAAGATGGAGGGTCTCATAGTAATGTGACTATGAAATGAAAAGCGAAATTGGATAGCGTCTTCTCCTTTAACCACAACTAACAGAGCGGAAGATAAAAAGAGTTTCCTCCTGTTAGAACTGTGGGTGCCTATGAAAAAGGAACAACCCATCTCATTCCAATGCCTGGTTCAGCAGCCACCTGTCCACTGTCCTAGTTGAATAAAAGATAGAATTGAGAAAGCTAGTAAGAGGGGCGGTCTGGTTGTTTTAACAAGGTTACAAAATTTTCCCATGGACCAAGATGACTTCAGGGAAGGTAGCTTGAGCCTTCTTGTTGATGCACACACAATAGGGGTGGCTGCTAGAAAAAGCTTCCCAGCCCCTCAGCACGACCACCTTACAGGCTTGAACTCTATAAAAAACAAAGTCTGGCCGGGCGTGGTGGCTCACCTCTGTAATCCCAGCAATTTGGGAGACTGGGGTGGGTGGATCACCTGAGGTCAGGAGTTCGAGACCAGCCTGGCCAGCATGGCAAAACTCCATCTCTACTAAAAATACAAAAATTAGCAGGGCATGGTGGTGTGGACCTGTAGTCCCAGTTACTTGGGAGGCTGAGGCAAGAGAATCTTTTGAACCTGGGAGGCAGAGGTTGCAGTGAGCTGAGATCACGCCACTGCACTCCAGCCTAGGTGACAGAGCAAGACTCCATCTCAGAAAACAAAATAAATAAATAAAATAAAAATAAAGTTCCCTGTACAAATTTATAATTGTGTGATTTTACAGTTAGCATAACCTTCTGGTAGAGCTTAGACAAATGAATGTCAACTGGAGATGATTTTGCCCCCCAGGAGTCAATTGGCAATGCACAGAGATGTTTTATTTAGATCATCACAGCTTGATCAGGATTGCTATTAATGAGTAGAGGCCAGGGGTGCTGTTGCACACTCTATAATGCACAGGACAGCCCTCCACAAAAGAGAGTTACCAGTCCAAATGTCAGTAGTGCTGAGGTAGAGAAATGTTGCTCCAGAGAAATACATATTTTATCAAGTGAACTAGTTTTCTAAGAAACATTTGAAATTAGAGTTTAAAAAGAAAGGCCGTGTGCAGTTGCTCACATCTGTAATACCAGCACTTTGGGAGGCTGAGGCAGGAGGATCTCCTGAGGTCAGGAGTTCCAGACTAGCCTGGCCAATATGATGAAACCCATCTCTACTAAAAATACAAAAATTAACTGGGTGTGGTGGCACACACTTGTAATCCCAGCTACTCAGGAGGCTGAGGCAGGATAATTGCTTGAACCCAGGAGGTAGAGGTTGCAGTGAGCTGAGATAGTGCCATTGCACTCCAGCCTGGGCAACAGAACGAGACTCCATCTCAAAAAAAAGAAAAAAAAAGAGAGAGAGAAGACTCATCATTTAAGAAGCTCAGAGAAAGTTGATAGAGAAGAGATTATCAATAAACTTTAAAAGTCTAAATTCTAAATTTGGAATTCCAAATTCTAAAATCTTAAAAAATTTAAAGAGAAAATTACAAAATACTTGGTTTAATTTTCTATATTTCTTAATATTCTCATAGGAAATCTTGCTCTAATCATGAGAATCGGATCTAACAAATGTTAAGTAATCTGCTTTTCCCTCGAGGGAAGATAAAACTAGACAAAATCTTTATTGTAGAATAAACTTTATCACCTAATGTACCTGATATAAAGTAGTTCACCCTTTTCCTTGTTTCAGGAAAAGAATTACAGAAGGACACAGTTCTATGTAATCTTTACTCATTCTGCTAAAGGGACTACAAGAATATAATGGAAAGTAATTCATCACCTCAAATGGAGCTGCCCAATCCCATATTGATAAACTTGCTAAAGTGTCTTTTAATTATGCCCAAACCATGACTTAGTTGTTTCCTGCAAGCAACTGTCTCCCAGAAATCCAAAATGTTTGTTAACTATGTCAAGTGAATGCTCCCTCCAAGACATTAAATACACGTATACTCATTGTTAGAATTTTAAATGTTTATAATACAAGCAAATGCCATCTGTTTTTAATTTGTGACATAGTCTACCTGGTTTTAATGCAAACTAACATTTTACAACCTGAAAATTGACTATATCTTAAGAAAAATTTGGTATATATGTAAAATATATTTTTAATATTTATTTTCATTGATGGCGGAAATGATGGTGTGTGTTTTTGTGTGGATGTGTGAGTGTACGTAACAGTGAGCACATTCATTGGCAAAACCTTTAAGGAAAAATAATAATGACTTGTACTAGTTTGTATTCTTAATATTATTGTTAGCAATATCTGTGAAGTTTTAATTTTACTGATGGAAAATTTAGAAATTTAATAGAAATTCTAGAAAGGTGAAAATGTTTTAAAATCAGTTATGGCTTAAATATGGAAAAATATTTTATACTATACAAGTAGAAGAAAAGCATAAACTCTTAGAGTTGACACCTTGTTTTGAAATGTCTTTTTCATTTCCTCTTTCCTCTTTCTTGGACTGATAACTATATTACTTTGTAGAAACTGATAACCTTTTCTCTGACTTCTTTGGTATGAAACTTATTTGCCAGCGTTTATACTTAGCATTTTTTACATAAGCTTTTTTTTATATAGAAGCCAAGATGCATATTGGAGAGTTCTCCATAGGGCTTGATTTTCTTCTCCCACCCATATTGGAAATCTCTTCCTCAGTATCAGCTGATCTACCAGCCTTCCTGTGAACACACAAGAAAAGAGTTTATTTCCACTGATGTTACGGAAAAGATAGAAACAGTCTTCACAGGACAGTTTTCACAGAGATCGTCTACAAAATCCGATCTCATACTATTCATATGCAAGTAAATACTTATACTTGAAATTAGAACTTTATTCATTCAAAGCTGGATAAGTTCATTTCAGAAATTCAGAAAATTGGAGAAAAGAAATATTACTTCACTAGAGACAACAATAGCTAATACTATTGTATATTTTTCTATTTTTTGATAGATGATAGATATAGATAGATATATGATAGATAATGGATAAATAATAGATGATAGATAATATATAGGTTATAGGTAGATATGTAGATAATAGATAAATGGATGTAGATGATAGATAATAGACGATAAACAGATATGTATACTTACACTTAAATATACATATATTAAATATATAATTGTGTTGTAAAACATTTGACAAAACTATGCATGTAAATAAACAAAACTATACACATAAGTAACTAGGCATTAGTACATCTAGAGTAACAACATCCTCTATATATTCTACATCAACCTGCCTGATGCATTTTTATTTTAAACTAGTAGGTGAATTGTTTTCCATTGAACCATAGCAAAGAAAGTTTCTTTATTGATTACCAAGATAAATATTTTTGCTAAAAAATAAAAAGCACTGTCAATACTAATTAACTAACATTCCCATTTTACCCAAATCACAATCGTTTTTCAGAATTATTTGCATTTTATAAGTAATGCTTGCAAAATATTGTTGCCTTAAGTTTCAAAGTGAAAGAACGTAAAAATAGCATAATTTTAGACATAGAAATACTATTTTTATTTATATTATGCAATAACAGAGGAAGGTGTCTCACATATTCCTGATACAAACAGAGGAGTGACTCGAGAGCCTTTGTTATTGTGGGAAATAAGACTTAGTGGAATGGGCCTGTAATCCCAGCATTTTGGGAGGCCGAGGTGGTTGGATCACTTAAGGTCAGGAGTTCGAGACCAACCTGGCCAATACGGTGAAAACCTGCCTCTACTAAAAATACAAAAATTAGCCAGGCATGGTGGTGGGAGCCTATAGTCCCAGCTACTTGGGAAGCTGAGGCAGGAGAATTGCTTGAACCCATGAGGCAGAGGTTGCAGTGAGCCAGGATTGTGCCACTGCACTCCAGCCTGGGCCACAGAGCAAGACTCTATCAAAAAAAAAAGAAAGAAAGAAAAAAAAAGAAAGAAATACTTACTGGAATGGATAAAGAAGGCCCTGTGCATTATATTATAGTAGCAGAAGATGTTTTGAAAGACATACAAGCTCATTGAAAAAAGTGACTGATGAATAGATGCTATAAAAATTGTCTTTAAAAATCCCAATCTATATGTAGAATTTTCAATGTTTAATAAAGAAAAACAGGTTATTCTGTATAACACAAAGGGATCAAGCAAATCAAATTTGCAAACATAGAAGAAAAAAATCAGAAACACATTTTAAGGCAATAGTAGACATTTCACAGAAAAGAAGCCATACTTGGTCAGAATGGAAGGGTTGTCATCTTCAGCAGGATTAGGAAAAAGTGCAAATAAAAATCTACAGAAAGATATCCATTTTCACTGACAGGTTGGACAAAAATTAAACTGTCCGTCAGAAACAGATGTTTGTGAGAACATGAGAGCATGGGGCAGAGGGAATAAAACACTTTGGGGATATATTGATGTGATTTAAATATGTATCTTGTGACCGAACACTTCCACTCCTGAGTATACAACCCTGACTACCTTTTATTGAAATGCAGTGAGAGACATGGACAAGCATCGTCAAACCAGCATCAGCTATTATTATTTTAGGGAAGAAAAGTAAAAATGACATAGCTGTGGAAATACTAGAGAACTCATAAGTGTGTTCTATTCATATGAGGGAATATTATATTTTGGTAATTATCACATCGGCTATTATATGAAATTGGAGTTATAAGCATAACATTGAGTAAAATAAATGAAATTGGTATACATTTGACATAGTTTGGATCTGTGTCCTCACCCAAATCTCATGTTCAACTGTAATCCCCAATGTTGTAGGTGGGGCCTGGTGGAAGGTGATTGGATCACGGGAGTGGATCCTTCGAGAATGGTTTAGCACCATCCCTTTGGTGTTGTTCTCGTGGTAGAGTTCTCATGAGGTCTTGTAGTTTTAAAGTGTGTAGCTCCTTCTCCCTCTCTGTCTCTCTTAGTCCTGCTCCTGCTGTGTGAGACACCTGCTCTCGCTTTACTTCTGCCATGAGTAAAAGCTCCTTGAGGCCTCCCCAGAAGCAGATGCTGCCATGCTTCTTGTACAGCCTGCAGAAACATAAGCCAATTAAACCTTTTTTCTCATACATTACCCAGTCTCAGGTATTTCTTTATAGCAATGTGAGAATGGACTAATATAGGGTTTCTATCTAGTAAGGTAAATTTACATAAAATTCAAATCCAAAGCCAAATTACAGGTATAATTTTTGAAGATACACCCATAAATCCAGCAATCCTAACCAAGAGAAAAGAACCAATGGACAAACTTTTCTCACTTTCATCGGGAGGCCTTCATGGGAAGGGCCCCATAAATACTGCTAATAGTCTATTCTTCAATGTCTTGTTTTAGGTATAACAGTGTCAATGTGACTAGGTTTTACATATATTATATATTTCATATATCATTTCACATATGTGAATACTTTAAATATAGTTAATATTCATATGTATTTCATTACATATTTACCCACTTCTTCTTCACTCCCAGTTTCAGGGCTTTGAGTGGAGCTGACCCTACTTCAGAGACCCTGGGAATGTACATAACCCAGGGCTAATTCAACCAAAGCACCAGATCCCATTTAATCAATAACAAGCTCTGTCCATAGGAGTGATCCAAGTTGATCCAAGAGTGAATCCCAAAATTTTGCCAAGATGCTTAAGGAAGAAAATCTTTTCCACCAGGTTTACTTTTCCTAAGCTCCTGGTGAACAACTTGTCCCCATCTCCAAGGGAAAAACCTGGCTATGCTTGAAGCTGATACAAGAAAAAGTAAATACCAATTTGAAGACTCTGGCATATTTTATTAGACGGACAGCATCATTCCTAGAATTTCTCATATACAAGTCAATACTCTCTCTCTCTCTTTTTTTTTCACTTTCTGTTCACTAGTTTGAGTTCAGTTTTTCATGCCTGCATGAAAAACAGCCTTGACTTGTGCTAAATGTTATGTTATTATGAATATTATGTTATACTCATTGCTCCATAGCAAGGCTGTGCTTAAGATGACACATGATCAATATCAGTCACCTGAAGCAATAAGACACTGTAGCACTTTACCTGCTCCATATCGTTTATTCTGTAATTGATGAAATATTTCAAACCAGTAGAAATAATTTTAAATACATGCTGCTGTTGGCACATTTAATAATTCACGCTACCACTAAAGTAAAAGAGGATCTTTCCCTCTGAGATGCCACATCCGCTCAGAAGGTTCCCCATGGTGAGGACAGCAATAATACATGAAGGCATTTAATCTATAAAGGTATTTATTTCAAGATCGCTTAATTCACATTTTGATGGCAAGTGGAATCTTGGCACATGTATTAATACTAGTGCCAGACCTTTGGTGAGGTCCAGTTTGTCAACTGATAAGACAATGATGAAATTCAGATATAATAGGGATTCTGTGAGTAGGAACAGGTGTGGGCTTGTTCAAAAACCACAAGTATGTGATCAAATTGGAAAAGCTCAAGTAAGCAAATGAAAGGGAATTTAATAACAAGATTGATGAGACCGAAGATGAATTTAAACATCATGTCTTAAAGATTTTTTTTAGATTAAAATATCAAAGAAGAAAACGTGAAAATGTTAACAATTTACTACGGTGACCACTTTTCTAACTAATTGAGAGCCTGGTTCAGGTGGTAATTGTGATCACTTCAGTTACTTATGTGAACCTCAAATATCTGAGTTGGTAGGTCTCAGTTAATTTAGAAAGTTGACTTTGCCAAGCTTAAGGATGCACACCATTGACACAACCTCAGAAAGTCCTGACGACATGTGCCAAAGGTGGTCAGAGCACATTTTGTTTTATATATTTTAGGGAGAAATGAGACATCAATCAATATATGTAAGATGTACATTGGTTCTGTCCAGAAAGGCGGGACAACTCAAGCAGAGAGGGGGCTTCCAGGTTACGGGTGGGTGAGAGACAAACGGCGTTTGCATTCTTTTGAGTTTCTGATTGGCCTTTCCAAAGGAGGCAGTCAGATATATATTTATCTCAGTGAGCAGAGGGGTGAGTTTGAATAGAATGGGAAGCAGGTTGGCCCTAAGCAGTTCCTAGCTTGACTTTTCCCTTTAGCTTAGTGATTTCGCGACCCCAAGATTTATTTTCCTTTCACATTTATCAGTAAACATTAATTCCTTTTAAGACGTATTTGTCAGAGTGAGGCAGAGAAAGAGAAGCAATAGTATGTGTACACCTTTCTTTATGCAATAAATGTGACTTGCTTAATTGGGTACCAATACTAAGATTATGAAAAAGAAGATCAGGTTACAAAAGCTAGAGGAGGAAGATGGGGGAGAAAATAGACTCCTATCACAGAGAAAATCAATTCCCAGGAAATCAAAATGTGAAATGCAAAACTATAAAGCATCTAGAACTTTATGATGCAATAGGATACCCACTCACCTTGTATGGCAATTCAAATGTAAATTAACCAACATTAAACAAAATTAGCAAAAGAAAGTTGCATTCTCATCTTCACTAGCCCCACTGAAGTTCTTATAGCCTTATGTAGTAAACACTACTGTATTCATAACGAAGATTAGGACATTTTCATTATTTTAGAACTTTCTGTTGGACAGTGGTCATTTATAAAATAATATAGAATTTTTTAAAATTCAGAGATAGGGTCTTACTGTATTACCCAGGCTGGGCTTGAACTCTTGGGCTCAAGTGATCCTCTCTTCTCAGCCACCTAAGCAGCTGGGATTACAGGTGTGTACCACTACTCCTAGCTTTACAGAATACTTTTAGAAATTCAGGGTAAAGTGAGATATTTAGGCAGGACACAAAAGTGCAAAATATTGGAAAAGCATTGATAAATTTGAGGGTATCACATTTCAGACCTTGTCTTTGCCAAATATGATCTTAAAGAGAGGGAAACATAACCATGTAGTGAGATAAAGCTTTTGGTACACATACACCGAACAGATGGCTTATGAAGACTGTCTTCAAAGCGAGAAGAAGAAAGACGCACTGCTCGAAAAAATTCGAAATAATCAGGAACTTTATAAAAGGGAACACTAGAATGACCATGAACTTATCAAAAGGCAGTCCAGTTCATAGCAAATGGGAGAAAACAATTTATAACATCAATGAGGAACAACATCTACAACCCTAAAGAGAAATAGTTTGACAGCACCAAGTGCTGTCAAGTATATGGGAAAAGGGAACTTCCATGGACTTCTATGGTGCCTAACTTTGAAAAACAATTTGGCATTTTCTCATACTCATATCACCCAGAATTTCCATGCCTGAGTATACGTTAAACTGAAATGATTGCATTATATGTACCAAGAAATATACACAATGTATTCGTGGCAGGTTGTTTGTTTGTTTGGTTGGTTGGTTGGTTGGTTTGGTTTGGTTTTTTGTTTTTTTTGAGATGGAGTCTCGCTCTGTCACCCAGGCTGCAGTGCAGTGGCGCGATCTCGGCTCACTGCAACCTCCGCCTCCTGGATTCAAGCAATTCTCCTGCCTCAGCCTCCCGAGTAGCTGGGACTACAGGTGCCCACCACCATGCCCGGCTAATTTTTGTACTTTTAGTAGAGACGGGGTTTCACCATGTTGGCCGGGCTGGTCTCAAACTTTGACCTCAGGTGATCTGCCTGCCCTGGCTTCCCAAAGTGCTGGGATTACAGGCATTAAAGTGTCATGGTTTCAATAAAATGTAACACCATAATTGTGTTCAAAGTAAAAACAAGCCAATATTTCCTTGATATTTTACTCATAAGTGCATTTATATTCTTAAGCAATGGCCAGAAATCAGAGGCCTGATGTCTGAGCATAAGATTTTAAAAGTAAATACTTCCCCAAAATTATCATTGCGTCTTAAAATTGCAGTGATTCAAATTGTTAATTCAACATTCAGGAAAAGAGGGAAAAAAAACAAGTACCGCGCAGCTGAATCTCCAAAATGGGGTGTGTTTGATGTGGGAAAACTAGATGTATGTTAACTGTGTGAAAATACCCATTGAAGAGTTTCTGTTAAAGCAGCTGTTATATTTGAGACACAGGGTTTCTGCATCTTAAGTGGACCTCTTCCTTTTATAAAGTAAGTGAAATACAACTACCCATGACACCTTGATTGAAGGGTTTCAGAAGCTAATTAAAGAGGCATCTAAAAGTATTTCTTAAACTTGCCAAATATGACCCTCTGACATGGGAGTTTTCCTAGGAGAATTATCCACTGACTGCCTCCCAAAATTAAGAAAATGCATTGTCAATCCTCCACGGAGGGCCTGCTAATTAAAATGCTGATTTCAGGAGAGATGGAAGCTCTGTATTTTCTACTTAGAGTAGTGTCGGGTGAGCCAGCCACATTTGACAGTATTAAATTGTTAAGTAAGAAAAAAAAAATTATCCAGGAACCTATGAAGAGCCAAATAGAGCTACTTCATTAATTGATACTTAATCTTCTTAGTCCTTTAGTAAATCTGAAACAAGATAAGGGGGGCACAAATCAAATGAAGAGTGGAGATAAATAAAAAGAGAGGTGGGATGGCTAGAGCCTTGGCAGAAGGCAATGCAAAATGGTGCTGATACCAACTTTAGTCATGTGTCTTGCTGGATAACTCAGTTTTCTTTTAGAATTGGAAAGAATCTGAAAATTTAGCTCCTACACACGTGGGATTTTCACAGAATACTCTACAGGAAAAAAAGCAAAATCATCAAATAAATACAACCCAGGTTCCAAGAAATAATGGATTCAATTCAGGAAACAGTGAAGGTAAGCTTTAGGATGGCAAATTGTCTGAAGAAAAAATCAGTTCAGACTGGAAAAAGAGGATAATTATTATTGAGAAGTAAATACTTGAGAATTTAGAAGAATTTCCAATAGCACTCAATAATAATTATTCTGTGAAAACCCCATGTGTTTAGGAGCTAAATTTTCAGATTCTTTCCATTTCTCAACACAACCTCTAATCTGTGCATCATAACATTGCAGTGATTCAATTTCTAATACATGGTAGATAATTGGTAAACATTGCTACTAACAACATTAATTTGGCACTCAGGGCACCATGTTGGTTAATGCCCTACTCTAGACTTTTTCAACTCTAATATCGTTGACACACTTCCAAACACTGTAATCACATAGTCATTTTTCAGCACTCTGGGGCTTTTTGCTTAGACATGATAGATCCAGTGTCTACTCTTTCATATGGTCACAGAGCAAAGTATTTCCATGTTCTATTAGACCTGTCATCCTTTTTCTGCACAGTCTGCAGGTTATTGTATGCATCTCACCACTTACTAGCATAAAACATTTCTAAAGTAGATCGAGAAGTCAGTAAGCTTCAAGAAAAGTGATTCGTTCTCAACAATAGATCACGTATTGGTTTGTACAAACTAATCAATCACTTTCTTGGTTTGTCCAGTAAGTGAATTGACCAAAACAACATGCAGGGATTCTTATAGTCAAATGCAACAGTTAATTCTCAATGTTCCTCGTTTAAGTATTAGTTATGGATGCATTGCCAATGTAAGTTGTCTGATTATGTCAGGGGAAAACTACCTATTTAATACATTTGACCAAGTCCTGACAGGTGTCCTTTAAAAGTGGGACCTATTAAGTGCAGTAGGAATTTGGGATTAGTGCAGAGAGCAGACATACTTTTCCTGCTGCTAGAGATCATTCAAATTCTCTTTGATTTCAGTGCTGATGTTTGGGTTTCATAATCTTGAATGTCCCTGGACAATGGTTCAGGCAATTATTGTGGTGGTAATACTCTTGTCTTTTGTTCAGCTTTATTCTTAGTATTTAGAAGACTAAACCACCACACCCAGCTCATTTAGGGTTGCACCAAGGAACAGTACATTTTCCTTTTAATGCAATACCTTCTAATTAATGGGAGGAATGGTGATGGAAGTGGGGCCTGGAGATGTACCCAAGTGACAGATATCTTTAAAAGACTGTGGATTTCCTCTAAGTCAAGTTCTCATGCACTTTGATCCTCATGTGTATTGAACTTTGAATGAGTCCCCTATACCAGTTGTCTAACCATCATTATAATCATAATAGCACACTGAACACTTGTGATATATCACGGACTGTTATATAACCCACCTAGTTCTTACAAAAATCATGAGTAGGTAATTATTTTTTCCTTTTATGCAGAATTATGTCAACAAAGCAATGCAACAGATGTACCTGAATCAAAATCCTATCTTCTTCCCTCTACAGACCCTTTCTTGCTTTGAAATCAGGAAATGACTTTAAACTTACCTTTACTACTTGCTCCAGACAAGACTTCTACTCTCTCTCCTCTAGAGCCGTAATTATGTGAAAATGAACAAACAAACAAAAATAAACAGTAAAAACAAGTTACCATGAGTGGGTACTTTGAAAAATAACATAAATATATTATCTACTGTGAATTCTACTTTTCATAAATCCCTGTACTCTGAGGGCCATTCACTTTCATCTTTATGCATGCTCCCTTCTGAAAAAATGATTGCATAATTCATACTTAACAATATATCTTCTCCCTGTTCCATCATCTCCCATGTCTCACTTTTTTACTTTGGTATTAGACTTTTTTTTGGTCCGCAACCCTACTGAATGGTCTACTCCACAGCATTCAATGTTGCCCAGGCTGGAGTGCAGTGGCACGATCTTGATTCACTCCAACCTCCACCTCTTGGGTCCAAGGGATTCTCCTGCCTCAGACTCCTAAGTAGCTAGTACTACAGACACCAGCCACCATGCCCAACTCATTTTTTGTATCTTAGTAGAGACAGGGTTTCACCATGTTGCCCAGGGTGGCCTCAAGTGATCTGCCCACCTCAGCCTCCCAAAGTACTGGGATTACAGGTGTGAGCCATCACACCTGGCCGCATTTAATGTTCTGACTTCTCTTTATGCTGTTGTGCTGTTGGCCTTTTAATATTATACATTTCTTTTTAATATTATTTTTAACTGACAAATGAGGAAAAATTTATTTAATGATGGAGTACAACACAGTGCTTTGATATGTGTGTACATTGTGAAATTATTAAATCAAGCTAATTAGTATAGCCATCACCTCACAGAGTTACTTTTTTTGTGATGGGGACATTTAAAATCTACTCCTAGTAATTTTCAAGAATACGATACATTATTATTAACAATAGTCACCATACTGTACAATAGATCGCCAGAAATTATTTACCGTATCTAACTTTGTATCATTCAACCAATATTCTTATAACTTTGTGTCCTTTAACTGTGTACATTATACTTGATAACTTTGTTTCCTTTAATCAATCTTTGATAACTCTGTTTCCTTTAACCAATACCCTTGATAACTCTGTATCCTTTAATCAACACCCTTGATAACTTTGTTTTCTTTAACCAATATACTTGATAACTCTGTTTCCTTTAACCAATACTCTTGATAACTCTGTGTCCTTTAATCAATACCCTTGATAACTTTGTTTCCTTTAACCAATAGCCTTGATAACTTTGTATCCTTTGACCAATATTCTTGATAACTTTGTTTCCTTTAACCAATATCTCCCCATCATCTCCTCCCCTGCTCCAGCCCAGTAACTACCATTCAATTCTCTGCTTCTATGAGTTTGATTTTTTTTTTTTAAGATTCCACAAACAGGTGAGATCACAGGGCATTTGTCTTTCTGTGTTTGGCTTACTTCACTAAGCATAATGTCCTAATGTTTTCCAGTTCCTCCATGTTTCTTTGTCTCTTAAACACCGTCTTCTCAACCGCTAAGGGCAGCCTCATTGATTGGAGATGTGGCCAATGAAGAAAGTTTCCAAGCTGTTCCACATTCTAGAACTGTGGCTGTTTGGCAGTTTGTATGGAAATCAAATCTGCATTCCTTTCTCGTGCATGAATAAGATGAAAGGCAGGGGAAGGTAAAGCATGGTAAAACATGGCTATGCTGCTTGGGGCTTAAATTACTCTCATTCTCCATTTTCCCAGGCAAAATTCTCCTCTCCTACTTCTGTTATGTTCTTTTCACTTTTTACCCTTTTACAGGAAGATTCTGTAACTATTTCAAGGCAATTATACTTTCAGTGTCATTTTATTGCAATTTGCTAGAGATGGGTACATATGGTGATTTAAAATCTGAAACTACTCTGACCCTAGCCGCATCTGGTCGGCGCAAGTGTTTCATAAGGACATTCCAGTTGTTTTGGAATAATACATTTGGGGCAATTCCTAAATCACAGGTTGCTTTAAGGCCACCTCTTCAGATAATAGCCTTCTTGAAATTGCATGAAAAAATATAGTATATTCGTCTCTTGGGTCAAGTTCTCGCCATGTGTTCGAAAATCATTTTGTGTTGCTTCTTATTCTAGCCAGTGAGGTTTTAAAGGAGGAGTAAACTGTGGAAGTTTGAGTATCCCATATTACATTATTTTCATTGTTTTGTTTTTGTAGAATGGGAAACCATGTAATCATCCGTTACAAAGTGTTTATGCTATTTAAATATCCAAAACAGTAAAACTTGATAGAAGTAATGGAAAATAGAAGCATTTGGCATTTTCCCATTGTGACGGTGCATGTAAAGGAGAAATTATAAAAATTGAATAAAAATCTCATTATCGTCAAGGATCTATTTTTTCCTAAATAATCCTCTTCAGTGAAGAAAATATTTCCCATGCTAACGGAAAAGAAAATGGGTGACAGGAAATCACAAGTGAACATTCAGCTTTACCTACCAACATGATTAGATTTGAAATACAGAAAATGTTTTCATTCAGTACCAGAATTCAAATTAGATTTTCACGGTAACCAGGAAACTCATTATCAGTTTCGTTAGAATCTTAGTAGTATAGGAAGAGTCATTATTTCAAATAGAATTTCCTTGCAACTTACATGAACTTTGGGACTATTTTATCCAGAAAGAAAAATGCAATTAGAAAGGAACTTTAGATGAAACAAAACAATATTTTTATTAGAGTTCCATAATTATATGTGTGTCTTGAAAATTCGGTGTGTATGAGAAGCGTGCAAAACGTTATTTATCTTCATCTGTGAAACGGGTTTAGAGTTGAAGAGTTATAAACAGATTTTTCACCTACATGTCTAGGAAGATTTGTGTAAAGACTGAAGTCAAGGGACAATTCTTCTGTGTTCAGTACTGTCCTGCGTCTTGTTTTAGGTGTTGCATTGCTGAGAAGACCCCGCCATCCTTGCGACAACCACAA
Organism: Homo sapiens; assembly: GCF_000001405.40. Classification (NCBI taxonomy): domain Eukaryota; kingdom Metazoa; phylum Chordata; class Mammalia; order Primates; family Hominidae; genus Homo; species Homo sapiens. The sequence goes on from NW_017363820.1 coordinate 96,993, forward strand.
TTGACTACACAGATTTCTGAAATGTTAAATGTGATATTTGCTTTTTGAGAATGAGATATTGTGATCCTAAGCCATCACCCCAAAGCTAAACAAATGCTGTTTATAAGTTTCTACTCTGCCCAGCGACAACCTAAGTGTCTCAAAAAATAGTTGTTGGAAGAAGTTTGAAGAGGAGAAATGCATGTGTCGAAAGATCGCATGTGATAGTTGATGTTTTAGTGTAAGAACTCTTGATCCAAGAATTCCCCTAACAGAAGCTACGAATGAAAAAAAAAAAAAGTAAATTTCCTTGAAGGCACAACGGCTTCCAAGTCCTTCATAAACACAACACAGAAGATAAAATTTGATACTGCTTTACCTAAAACATAAATTTTCGTGCCTGCTGATATCAGAATTTCTTCTTCTCCTTGATATAAGAGTTAAAAAATATTGATCCCGGTTTATCAAGAATACTAATTTTTGAGCACTAAAAGAGCTAATTCAAGGCTAATTCAGAAATAAGGAGCCCATGTGACTACTCTTTTTAAGAGTTGGACTTAATATTAACAGTAAAACTTTTTAGTGTGTATCACATGCAACCAGCAAAAGGTATTTGTTTACGCTGCAAAAATGTCAAAGAACTGACATTTTTTTCTCTCTGATTATGAAGATCTAGCAGAATTTTTAAAGAATATTATATAGAAACATGCAGTTGCATTTTAACAACTAGTCCTTAGTCTATTGTGACCACAATCCACTTAGCTCCAAACCTTCATACACCTTTTGGATCATATGTATTAAATAGTAACCACCAGCTTTCAAAAAATACTAGAATGATAAAAGATGAAAAATGCATACTGCCATTTTGCTAACTTCCTCATTCATTACAGTTAATTCTACTCTCCCATCAATACAAAAAAATTATATTTCCAAGAACATACTTTTATACCTTATTTGTAATTCTCCTCATAAATGTCAAAAACAAGTTTAGTTAAAATTTACACTTTTAAAATGGCCACTGTAGTACTTTTGGCTGAAATAATAAAATAGTACATTTGGCTGAATTTTACTTTAGTAGAATTGACAGCATAATTATTTGATACAGAAATTCTCTTAAGCCAATTAAAGAGGAAGGAATTTAGTTACAATAACACTATTCATTACTCACCCACTAATTTAACGTGTTATGAACCCCAAAGGCTTTCTTAAATAGCTTTTATGAACCAATATGATGTGATAACCTACAAATCCAATGGAAAATTATTCTACAACTTGCATCTACGAGGAATATAGGAGTCATTCTTTGGTACAGAATCTTTTGGGGTCCAATCATAAACAAGATCTCTGTATGTACATGTGTGTGTGCACACACACTCATACACCCATACTCATTCACACTCACACACACACACATATGGAGAAAGATAGAGATAGAAGGAACATCTTTATATGTCCTTAAAACATTAACAGATGTATTGAGATAATTCATCCTTCTGCGTGTACACAAAATTTTACTTTTTTTTTTTTTTGCACTGTGCCTCTGATCACAACTTCCTTTTGCAGTCAATACTATTTCTTATCACCAATGTCAAAATTCCTCTCTCTCCCATGTTGCAGTTTAGTTGTCTGGAAATCTTCTGTGATTCCTATTGCAAACAGTGTCCCTCATTTTGAATTAGGAGGAAGCTTGTTGTCTACAATTTATATAGGACTTTGACTTGTTGGTTAACTAATTGTATACAAGTACTGCTATTAAGACATCAATATTATGCAGCCATAAAAAAATGATATCATGTCTTTTGCAGGATCATGGATGGAGCCCAAGGCCATTATCCTTAGCAAACTAACCATGGAATAGAAAACCAAATACCCTAAGCTCTCACTTATGAGTGGGAGCTAAATGAGAACATATGGACACATAGAGGGAACAAAAGACACTGGGGCCTACTTGATGGTGGAAGGTGGGAGGAAGGAGACAATAAGATAAAACAACTTTTAGGTACAAGGCTTAGAACCTGGGTGATGAAATAATCTGTACAGAAAGCCTCTGAGACATGAGTTTACTTACATGAGAAACATGCACATGTCCTCACGGACCTAAAATAAAAGTTTAAAAATACAAAGACATTATTAGATCTCAGCAACACTTTATAAACTACCTTTAAATACAAGTTAATGAAAGATAGATAGATAGATTAATATGGCACAACATTTAGACCACTTGGACCTTAAAAACCTATTTGTTGTGTTTCCTAGCTAAGATCTATCCTTGTGTAAAAAGATAAGGCCTACATTTTAGAATTAATCTCAATATTATGAATATAATTTTCTAATGAGTGAAATGATTTTAGTTTACCCTGCCTATATTGTATTCTATGAATATAATCACTAAAGTTATCATAGTATAATAACACAAAAATACAACCTATATAATGGAAGTTACAGTCTTGATTTGTAACATAAGTTTTAAGATGGTCTACTGTTGTCAAAATTAATTAAAAAAAAAAAATTACAAGGCCCAGGCGGGCGGATCAACTGAGGTCAGGAGTTTGAGACCAGACTGGCCAACATGGTGAAACCCGTCTCTACTAAAAATACAACAATTAGCTGGGCATGGTGGCGGGTGCCTGTAATCCCAGCTACTCAGGAGGCTGAGGCGAGATAATCACTTGAACCGGTGAGGCAGAAATTGCAGTGAGCTGAGATCATGCCATTGCACTCCAGCCTGGGCAACAAGAGTAAAACTCCATTAAAAAAAAAAAAATCCAGAGGTTAGATATATTGAATTTCTGAACTTATAGCCCTATATAGCAAACATTAAATTAACATACATAACATTTAAATTTTACATGCCTAATGAAAATATTAGTATATAGATGTCATTAATCTAAATTGTATGTCTGATCCTGACATTAGCTAATTTTTTTACTCTTTACAAGTCATTTAGCCTTTCTGGATTTCAATTTTATGCTTAAAAAATGAATGGAATTTATTTAATGGAATTTATTTTCCATATTTAAGAGTATACAGTTAACATAAATATTTGTGTCATCTATATAAAATAATGCCTACTTTCTATTTTCCTAATTTCACTTGGTGTTCTGCTATAAAAACTCCCCATTTCATTTTTAATGTCTTTTTCATTTTGTAAGATGCATAATACACAATATCTAGCATAATTCAGGGGATGATAACCTATATCAGCCAGTTTAAAATTGTTTTATAACATTTGATTGTTTTGTGATGCATCCCGTAAGAGAGACATATAATTCATGAAGCATAGATTATGTGGTAGGTTAATTGCATGGATTCTTTTGCAAAGCAAATTTAATGGCATAATTTTATAGTGAAATTGACAGGGTCATTTATACATCTCTTCAGTGGGAGTCATTTTGTTCAAAGAGGCTTCCTAAACAGAAATAAATAAATAAATAAATAAATAAATAAATAAATAACAAAAACTAAACCAAAATGCTCTCATTAAAAAAAAAAAACATTGTATTCAGTCATTTGATGTCACAGGGTAGAGTTGACATCTTCGATTTTCTCACTGTCAATTAATCTTTAGCTGTTTCATTGCAATCTCTGAACTCATCTGTGTGAATTACGTACCATCTATTTCTTAAACCTTTTTGGTACTTGTAGCTTCTTTGAGTGATAATCTTTAAAAGCAAAGCATGTCTAAAGTTAGAACACACTAGATGCAAATCTTCACCACTAACACAATAGGAAGTTTCACATTTTAGAATTTTACCTCTAATGACAAAGGTGGGTATTTCTCTGTTGTGAGTAGAGTACTCAGATCAGAAGCTGCATTCCTTAGAAGAGGAAGAAAAATCATATTATTAGATTCTATATTCCCTAGTAGGCTTTTCTAATGTTCCTGAGAAAGAAAGTTTTATTTTACTTCCCTCTGGGAAAATTTAAAAAAAAAAAAGTAATTAAAAAAATTTACCCTCGTTTGTTGCAAATGAGCTTAGGAAAATTCTGATCATTCTATCATGTAAGTACCATAAAATTACAGATACTGGTTCAGTGTGGATAAGAAATGTTGATATGCCACCCAGCTTTAAGAAAACTCGCTCACAAGCAATCCATGGATCTTTCACGTAATGGAATATTCAAACCTCTTTACAAAAGATGTGCTTCAAGGTTAACAACCCTTTAGGAATTATAAGCTTCATAAAAGCACAAGATATGAGGAATGGAGGACACCTTAAAATGATCAGAGTTAACGTTCTGGTTGAACGGATAGAGAAATTGATTGCTGAAGAGTTTAACTTCCTTTACCCAACAATGCACATCAGCTATGGGCTCAGACTGCAACATAAGAACTGTTGTCTGACCTTGAATTCGAAGCTGTTCCAGGAATATTTTATCTGAGCTTTGTATGATTTTATTCAGAGTCTAGCCTTTCCAACAGGCAATTCATTTAAACCAGCATTTCACAGGGTTCTGTGAATATGAGTGATTGCTGTTCACAAGGGGCTTTGGGAATGAATGGAAAAGACTTGACCCCAGACTTTCACTGCAAGAGGCAATGTGATAAGTTCAGAATGGAGCAGAAGACCACTGGGTGGAAGATCACACAGTGGGGATACATTGATTTGGAGAAACAGCAAGACAGACACAACCCATAAATGGTCTCCTTTAAGTTAAAGCTGGTGAGCAAGCAGGACTTTGAAACAAGAACAGTGTTCTTGATAGAGAAGGAGGAGTCCCAGTTGCAGAGATTACTTAATCTATGGACAGAGATGGGAAAATGGGCTTCCATTAGATAACCATAAATGACCTGGTTTTGCCTTTTGCATACAAAGAGTAATGCGGAAAAATGATGGAGATGAAAACTAGGTGAGAAAGATTGTTCAGAAGTTTAACCTAGTCTGGTAACTCTTTATTCTACAATTAACTCAGAAATAATGTGTATTAGTCTGTTCTCACGCTGTTAATAAAGACCTACCCAAGATTGGGCAATCATAAACAAAAGAGGTTTAATTGACTCACAGTTCCACATGGCTGGGGAGGCCTCACAATCATGGCAGAAGGTAAGAAGGAGCAAGTCACATCTTACGTGGTGGCAGGGAAGAGAGAGAATTTGTGCAGAGGAACTCCTCTTTATAAAACCATCAGATCTTGTGAGACTTATTCACTATCATGACAACAGCACAGGAAAGACCTGCCCCCATGATTCAATTATCTCCCCTCCACCCCTGTCCCTCCCACCACACGTGGGAATTGTGGGAGCTACAATTCAAGATGAGATCTGGCTGGGGACACAGCCAAACCATATCATAATGACTGTGGAAACTATAGGTTAAGGCTCTTGAATCATTCCTGAGGATGAGCTTGACTGCTACAGAATTTAGGATGAATGGAAGAAAATAAAGTACAATTAGAGCGAGTTTATTTGAAGCACTGGGGAACTCTCTCTCTTTTCTAGATTTCTAAGTCATGGTCGTATATTTATATGGCTCTAGAAGCTGGTGAACTATCTTAATATTGAAAACAGGAAGTTGGGAAGGGAGATAGAAATAAAACAATAGAAACAACAACAAAAAACCATTGGCTTTTTAAATAAAGAACAATGTCAACAAAACTGCTTGTTCAAAGAAATATTAAGCATCAAGATTTTTAAAATGAGAATTTTGTCCTGTAAGAGCATCTAAACAAGAATCTATCTTTTCCTTCAATGTAATAGAAATATAATTAGAGTCAAGTGTTAGGAATTGTTTTCCACAAAATGAATAATATAAAGATCCAAGTTAAATGTTTTATGTTTAAGTCAAATAAGAAAGATTAATTGAAGGCTGGGTGTGGTGGCTCATACCTGTAATCCCAGCACTTTGGGAGGCTGAGATGGGTGGATCACTTCAGGTCAGGAGTTTGAGACCAGCCTGGCCAACATGGTAAAAACCCATCTCTACTAAAAATGCAAAAAAAAAAAAAAAAAAAAAAAAAAAAAAAAAAAAAAAAAAAGAAAGAAAAAAAAAGAAAAGGAAAGAGAAAAAAAGTTAGCCAGGTGTGGTGGTGGACACCTGTAATCCAGCTAATTGGGAGGCTGAGGAAGGATAATCACTTGAATCCAGGAGGCAGAGGTTGCAGTGAGCCGAGACCATGCCACTGTACTCCAGCCTGGGTGACAGAGCGAGACTCTGTCTAAAAATAAAAAAAGGAAAGAAAGTTTAATTGAATGCAATGGCTAGTTTGTGGTAAATCATTCTCAGTGTTTTGTGTGTGGCTGGATATCAGAACTAATTATTTATATAATTTGTATAATAAAAATGTTTAAATACACTATACTGAATAGCTTGTATATCCTCTAGTTTATTAGCCATGATGTCTTCCTCTCATAGGTAACCAAATTCTTGAAATGCATACTTGCATTTATGTATGCATATGCACATGTATGTATGTGTGCATGTATCCACACATACATATAGACATGCATATATATGTATATATGTGTACAGGCATACATATGCATATGTGCATGCATGTGTAATTGCATATATCTATGTGTGGGTAAACAAATATGTGAAAAGGAATGTGCAGGTACTCTTGTTTACTTTATAAATTTTTTACTCTTAAAGGAACATTATACTCTATGTTCTCTTAGAACTTTTTTATGGATTAACATGGTTATTAATGTGCATTTATGTTTGCAAGTAGTCATGTAGTAATGATAATTTATTTACAATGTTTTATAATATTCCACTATATAAGTAAAACATAGACTAGGTATTCATTATTTCAGATGCATTGAGGTTCCTCTAGGTTTTGTGCCATTCTGTAATGCTACTAAAATCATGTTTTTGCTACCTTTCTGGTACATATGACCAGGGATTTCTCATGGGTATATAACAAGGTCATAGTTTTGACAGCTGAAATTTTTGGGAATGCAGAGGGTAATGGAATAGTGCTTTTAAAGTGCTGAAGAAAATTTATGTTTTCTTTAACCAGCAATAATATGTTTGAAAGAGTGAATGGGAAACAAAGGTACTCTCATATAAACACTGATGGAATTTGTTACTGCAGACATCTATAAGAAAGGAAATAATACGGAGAATTTTTGATAATAATTCTACATGGATATAGAAAGGCAGTAGAATACAAAGGAAAAACAAAAAGCTAATAGATGCATATATGTCAACAACTATTAATTATAAAATAATAATTCTGGTGTCTTTAGACTTCAAATTTTATTGAAACTAAAAATGAAAGGAAGAGTAATACCAAAAGAGGTAAAGTAGGTAAATAAATTTGGAGAGTGTGGGGTTTTAGCTGCATTGGGAAAATTGTAAATATAATATTTTATATTAGAGATTTACACATCTAGGATGTGGGCTGTAATCTTTAACTATAGATCATTTCAAATCTATAAAAAGTTAAAAGAAAGTACAAATAAATAATAAAAAGATGTCTATATAAAAGATGTCTAAAAACAGGGAGCAAGACAATATAAATTAGACAAACCAAATAAAAAAGAAGTTATATGATTGATTGTACAGACAGAAAACAAAACAAAATCTCATCAGCAATTACACTAAATATAAATGGACTAAGAATTTCAAGCAAAATATTTAGCTTGTCAATCTGGATTTAAAAAGAACAGCAACAAAAAGTAAGACATTATACTGATTGAAAAAGTGTGTTTTAAAAATAAAGACACAGTTTAAAAGTAAAAGTGTAGGAAAACATATCATTAAATCCATAACCAAAAGCTAGTATCTAATAGGAAGTTATGGTAATCCTGTATTTGTGTGCATCAAATTATGTAGCTCTGAAATATATACATAATAAATATTAAAACAAAATTTAAAAGTCCCAAGTGTACAATCCAGTGAAAGAAGGTACATAAAGTGTTCAGAGTTGCTTACCCACAAAAGAAGCAAATAACAAACAACCAATATGCTCATGGGAGTAATTCAGCTTTTTATCACTGTATACTTTCTTTTTTTTTTTTTTTTTTTTTTGAGACAGAGTCTTGCTCTGTCGCCCAGGCTGGAGTGCAGTGGCGTGATCTCGGCTCACTGCAACCTCCGCCTCCTGGGTTCATGCCATTCTCCTGCCTCAGCCTCCTGAGTAGCTGGGATTACAGGCGCCCACCACCATGCCCAGTTAATTTTTTTGTATTTTTAGTAGAGACGGGGTTTCAACATGTTAGCCAGGATGGTCTTGATCTCCTGACCTCGTGATCCACCCGCCTCAGCCTCCCAAAGTGCTGGGATTACAGGCGTGAGCCACTGCACCTGGCCTATCACTGTATACTTTATAAGGTGAGACAAAGTCACTGCAGTGTGCTGAATGGAGACTGAAAAAAGCTGGATCTTCAGGTCAGGGAAGTAAAACACGAAAATTCTTAGATGAAAACAGAAAACAAGAACAGATAAACAGATCACTTCTCAGGAGGATAAACATGAACAGTTCTGGCAAAGATTTGTAATACATATGGTCATATGACCAGACATTTTTCACAACTGAATATTTTCTCTCTCTTTTTCTCTCTCCCTGTTTCTCTTTCCCTCTCTTCCTTTCTTTCTCTTTCTCTCTTTCTCCTATTCAGAAACAGAAGACAAATCTTTGTAGAGGCAACATTATAAACACATATGTTAAGATGTATATGAATAAGAAACAGATATTTGAACAGACACGTGTCTTCTAAGAAAAATATATACATGTATGTATGTGTATATATATACACACATATACACATATAAATGTATGAATACAAACAGATATTTGAACAGATATATGTCCACTCTGAAAAATATAATGTATATACTTGTATATATACATTTGTGTGTGTGTGTGTGTGTGTATTCCTTTGACCAATTCTAATTCTGAATGTCTCCATATGAGCTTCGTTTGAATTTTAAAGAGCACATCACTCTAATATAACAGTTGTTTAAAATAAATGTTGAGAAAGCATGCAAATCAATAAAGATGTCTTTGATAGTTTGGTGAGAATGCCTGCTTGTTTCCAGATGATTGAAATAAATAGGGAAAGGTACTCTCATTTCCCAAGCAAATTTCCTCTCCTGCACTAAGCCTTAGGGATGGACTGATGCTGTCTTTATTTTTTGTTAAGGCTTGGAAGCCTCTTAGGAATCTCGCTCGCCTGTTCTGCACTGCCCACCGCATTCGCAGGGAGCCACAGTCCACCAAGAGAAGACCTGTTGTTTCCTCAAAGGATCTCAGAGCTATGTGGGCTTGCTTGGCCTTAGAAGAACATCCTGTGGTTCCTTCTGCCCTTCCTCCATCCTTCAGTATATGCCACATATGCACTGGGTGACGGTCCAAAGGAAAAAAATATTGGGAGGTGGTTGTCAATTTTCTGTATGGCTGTGGAGGCTGATATTTCTTCACACCTATCGATGTGCAGTCATTCAAAATCTGTGGCATTAAGCTGGGTTTTCCTTAGACCTAGCTGTGTCTGACTCCTTCATCACTTGTGGTTTTATGGCCAGTGTCCCCTCTTTCCTAAGAGAAGTTTATGTACAAACGGTTTGCTTCAGATTTTTTTTTTTATTTTTTGCAGTCTCTGCTCTCCAATAGGTTTAGCAAAGCTATCATGATATAACTGATCAACTCAGAAGAACAAATGGCTTACACAATTTTCTATCTGAACAGGAATCATCACTTCTGCAAGAGACTTTAAATAAAAATATGTAACAAAATTTCTGTATATGAGATAATTGTATAAATGTGTATGTATGTGTGTATCTGTTTCTATATATGTGTGTGTGTGTTTCACTATATTTAAAGGTATTAGAGGTGCTAAATATTTGGATAAAATCAATTTTGAATTTCGACTCAGTCAGTGATCTTGAGCTAGTTCCAAAATTTCTCTAAACATAATTAATTTCAATCTGCTCAATATATAGTCATTTTCAGAGATCTGCTGAGAGTTTAATATTCCATTTACTGGCATTTGGAGAGGATCTAGCTAATAGTAAGTCATCACATTAATTTAGCTATAATTATAACCTATGCTTATCATGGTAATCAATCACAATAACTTTATTCATAAAGTTGAGATCATCATCCTATATGTAACATTCTAGATGTAATCCCAACAGAACAAAATTACTCAAATGTGAAAAATAACTCTTAAAAATAATGTATTTTCAAGAGCAGACACAGCTTTAGGGTGTCTTCATTGTAGACTAAGTAGAATAGAGTGTTACAAAAGGCATTATAGATAGAATAAACTAACAACTTAAAGCTTTTAAACTGGGCTGACCCCAATTAAGATTAACCCTTTTATATAGAGAAAATTTGGACACCTGCCATAATTGCTTGAAGTTCCAAATCTTTATAACATTACGATTATTTTTACACACACACATGCAGAAATGTGAGGTGCTTTACGTACTGAAAGTAGTCTGATAATTTATATGATTCTTACTTGATTCAAAATTACTTAATGTCTTTTCTATTTTCTATCCAAAATTTGAGGCATCAGGGAAATTACATAACAGCAAAATAAACATTCTTTCTTTTCTTTTCTTTTCTTTTCTTTTTTTTTTTTTTTTTTGAGATGGAGTCTTGCTCTGTCACCCAGGCTGGAATGCAGTTGCATGATCTCGGCTCACTGCAACCTCTGCCTCCCTGGTTCAAGCGATTCTCCTGCCTCAGCCTCCCAAGTAGCTGGGACTACAGGCATGTGCCACCACGCCCGGCTAATTTGTTGTATTTTTAGTAGAGACGGGGTTTCACCGTGTTAGCCAGGATGGTCTCGATCTCCTGACCTCATGATCCACCCGCCTTGGCCTCCCAAAGTGCTGGGATTACAGGCGTGAGCCACCGCACCCGGCCTCTTTTCTTTCTTTCTTTCTTTAATATCAAGCCCTAGAGGTTAATGAAATTTGTGACAGAGTTTGAGATAGACACAAAGTTAGTGAATCTGAATAACACATTAATTCTTGCAATGGAAACTTTACTATAATGTAGAATTTTTTAAAATGATGTTAAATAATTGTAGTTACTTTTATTTTGTGATTTCATTTAATCTTCTTGATAACACTGGGAAGGGATAATGGTTGCACTCTGCTGAACGAGCATGTTGGAAATTGAAAGTGTTGCCGTCAGGTTTATCTAGTTCTGTCTGATTTTGTGAAAAACAAATATTGCTACATGAGCACTTATCACTAAGCCCTTCAAATTATATGGAAAATGTACGCATGTTCAAAAGTACGTTTTTGTAGAGAGATAATATATAGGTTTCTTCTCACAGGGAATCTTGACACTCTCTCCCTGTGATGGTTAACACTGAGCGTCAACTTCATTGGATTGAAGGAGGCAAAGTATTGATCTTGGGTGTGTCCATGAGGGTGTTGCCAAAAGAGATTAACATTTGAATCAGTGGCTGGAAAGGCAGACCCACCCTTAATCTGGGTGGGCACCATCTAATCAGCTGCCAGGTTGGCCAGAATATAAACCAGGCAGAAAAATGTGAAAAGACTAGACTGTATTAGCCTCTCAGTCTACATCTTTCTCCCGGGCTGGATGCTTCCTGCCCTGGAACGTCAAACTCCAAGTTCTTCAGCTTCGGGACTCCGGCTGGCTTCCTTGCTCTTCAGCTTGCAGATGGCCTGATGGCCTGTTGTAGGACCTTGTGATAGTGTGAGTTAATACTCCTCAATAAACTTATATATATATATAATTTGTTCTGTCCTTCTAGAGAACCCTAATACACTTCCTCTGCCAAACATTAATATTTAATAGCCTATGGCATCTTACACATTTTTCTTTGTGTAAGAGGATCTAGCAGTAGGCATTATTGAATGTACTTAATTTTCAGACCATTTTACCTATAAAACAACAAAACATAGTGCAACTTTAAAGGTCTACTAGAAAACAAGGTTTTAATTTTTTTTAAGGAACTGTGTAATCATAGATTCACTAAACCAAAATATAGCATTTTGATCAATCTGATGTTAAGAAAATGGAAGCAATACAATATCCCATGGTGAAATATGGTTATATTCCATTCTATTTCTATGGCTACCTTTTTAAAAATTCATAGGGGAATATTAATATTGATATGCAGCTGTATTGGCCTCTGTTTGTGTCACAAGATATTTTTGGGGCCTTCAATTTGTTCTTACATTTTATATCTGTATTCCAGTACAGTCTTGGAAGTCTGCATTGAGTGCAAGCCACACCATCCGATTATCATTCCTCCAACACTACCTGTGCATGCACAAGTACCATGAGCAAAGCCAAATTAGTATGACATAAATAGACTCTAAAGGGCTCTAGCAATCTTTTTCCCATGGTAATACCTACTGTTGGCTTCACAACCTCCCAGAGATTGCATATGGAGGCATACAATCTTTTACTTTACTTTTTAATACATCAACATTTATATCGAAGTCCATTTTCTTAAAAAGAGATAGTTCTATGACTTCTAAAAAGAAAAAACACTTTTTACTCTTACTTTCAGTATAATGAACTCTAACCAATACTGGTCTAAAATCCAACATTTTAAATCCTTGGATTCTTCAAGTATGAATTTCATCCACCATGTATTTTACTGTGGGTGATTGATAGTTGGGATAGAGAAGTTCAGTTGTTTCCTCTGACTTTTTAATTTAGGAAAACAGAGCAAAACAATACCAAAAAATCTTCTGTGTCTTTAGTTAGACACAAAGCTACTGAAAATAGAGACTGTTTTGTGTGTGCGTGTGCCCTGGAAGCTTAGTATGGGTAGTTTCTGGTCAATAAGATACTGGCAGAAAGGCTGTGTGAAGCCCCAGGGAAGCTCTTGAAGGCTTCTGTGTGCAATCCACTCTGTATCAGCCAATTCCTTCTTGGCAAGAATATAGGCATGTTAGCGAGCATTTTACATCAAGCATGAAGACAATCACAGTGTTGCAGTTTTGCCAATGCACCGCAATGCAGCAGTCTCTCATGAGGTATCACCCTGAGTTCTTTGTCTCACGGCCAAGAAAATTAAGAAGTGTGGACACAAAGGGTGAGGTTGGACAAAAGTTTAATGAGGAAAAGAAGAAAGCTCTCCACAGCAGAGAGGGGGTCCTGAGTGGGTTGCCCACTATGAGGCTGTGGTCTGGGATTTTTTTTTTTGAGATGGAATCTCGCTCTGTCACACAGGCTAGAGTGCAGTGGCACAATCTTGGCTCACTGCAACCTCCGCCTCCTGGGTTCAAGCGATTCTCCTGCCTCAGCCTCCTGAGTAGCTGGGATTACAGGTGCACGCCACCATGCCTGGCTAATTTTTGTATTTTTGGTAGTGACGGGGTTTCACCATGTTTGACCAGGCTGGTCCCAATCTCTTGACCTCGTGATCCGCCCACCTTGACCTCCCAAAGTGCTGGGATTACAGGGGTGAGCCACCACGCCTGGCTGGGGTCTGGGGTTTTTATGGACTGGGAAGGTAAGGAATGTGTTGATTGGTCTTGGAGAAGGCATTACTCAGCTTGGCCCGGGAGTAATCAGCAGTTGAAGTGATGACACATAGAGGCTACTCAGCTTGGCCTGGGACCTTGGCCCGGGACAAATCAGGAGCTGAAGTGAAAGCTTAGCAGGAACTTGGCCCAGGACCAATCAGATGCTAAAGTGATGATTCATGGAGGCTTGTCTCACAATCCAAAGCATGTTCAAAAAAGGAAAGGAAAGTGCCCACCGGAACCCACTGGAACCGCTGTGTATATGCCCACAGAAGGAGAAGAGACTATTTCCTGTAAGCCTGCTGGTTATAAAAAGAACAAAGGCATTTCTATGTTGCATCTTTTTTCCTTATCAGTGTAGCTGGGGGCACGTCTTAAGCACAAAGAACAAAGGCATTTCTATGTTGGGCCTCATTCCTTTATCTCCGTGGGCCAGAGGTTTGTGCAAGTTTCCTTATCTGTGCCTGAAGCCTGGTTTTACAGGCTGTTTCTCTGCTTAAAGGAGTTTTACTAAGGACCCACCCTAACTACTTAACTTTTCTTTCTCAACAGCTCAAGTTAAAGCTGAACAGCAATACAGGAGAAAGCTGGATTCCAATGCCATGAATCTCCCACCTAAGTCTTGAAAGCTTGCATAAGAAATAAAAGTCCTCTTATTTTATTTAAGGCATGTGTTCTTGGCAACTGCTAATTAGTAAAAACTATTCCTAACTTAAGGTTTCCAAAACTTTTTTTCACCATCCTAGCACATAGAGTCAAAGATAACATTTCTTCACCCCAAATGGTATAAACTGATGAGTTTATTAATGTTCTCAGGCTTCTGGGATAGAGCCGATAGCCATCCTACTTCCTGACTTGTCATTACAAATATTAAAAGAATAAGTAACCAATAACAAAGAGGATACATGACTCCCAATGTGGCGTGAGTAGTGCTGAAGAAGCTATGTTCCAACTAATAGAAGAGCTATTATGAGAAACTATACACATACCAATTAAGTTCTATAACCTTCATTAATTAGCAACACCAAGATTGGAAAAATAGTCTGGATCCACATAAGGATAAATTCTGTTTTTGAATAACAGGAACACATTGAATAACTTTGACCAAGAGGCAATGATGTTACAAAAAAAAATTATTTTAGGAATGTTAAAGTCCTAATAGCATGAAGAAAGTATTTAAGGTGAGAAAGAATGAAGACTCTTGTGGGAGAATAGACAATAAGCATCAAGTGTCTAAATTAAAGCAGATATAAAAATGAAAGGAGAGATTTGAAAGACACTTTAAAGTCTTTTTGATGGATAGGTTGTAAAAAGTGGCCAAGTTTTAAATGTTCATATTTTATTCATGAATTACTAGGAACATGAGTATAGCATTAAAAAACAAACAGTAAATATAAGGAAAATAGCTTGTTTAGAAGATAATGACTTCATTTAGAATCACAATTTTGAGATGATTTCAAAATTTTACTATATCAAGAATATCAATGGAAAGACATAAGTTCTCAAAGAACCAATGAATATTAATATATGTATTTTCACAGAGGCGAGAGTCAAAAGCACTAGAGAAAATTGAACACCAGAATCATGATTTCTTTGTTTTTTTCTTATATTACTTTGCTATAACTAACTGAAGCTTCATAGAGAAAGTTCCACTTGAGCTGGTCCACTTAGACAGATATCGATAGAACTACATACACTAAAGAGATGATATGTATTTATATACATGAGTAGATAGATGCCATGGGTAGATAGATAATTAATAGATAGATTGATAGATCGATAGATAGGTAGATAGATAAGGTGGATAGATAGAAGACAGATCAATAGATAGATGTATAGATATGACAGATTAATAGATAGAAAATGGATAGATAGAAACATAAATAGATGGGTAGATAGGTAGATTAATCGATGATAGATGGTGATAGATCAGATAGATAGATAGATAGATAGATAGATAGATAGATAGATAGATACATAAGATAGATGAGTAGATAGCTGGATAAATGACAGAAAGAAACAGATGAAATAGATGGATAGATAGATTTGGATAGACAGATTAGGATAAATAATAGATTCGTATAGTAAGTATAAATACATTTGGAATATAGATGGACAGATAGCTTCAGATAGATGATGGATAGATGATAGATAGATAGATAGAGTGGCTGGTTGGATGGTTGAATGGATAGATTCAGATTCACTTGGTAGATGACAGGTAGATAGCTAGATAGCTAGGTAGATAGAGATAGATGAACAAATAGATTGACAGGATACATAGGCAGACGAATAGCAATATGATATGTAGAAGATGGAAAAGACTGTTAGATGCAGAGAATTAGATAAACAGCCTGAAGGAATGGACAGATCTCCAAATAGGAAGGTGGGTTACATCTCCAGGTTGGCTAAACCAAAGTGCCATTTTCTAGATGTGGAGGTTTCAGGTCTCTGCTGTTGTTGTAGGTAAACACGTTTATGGAAACATGAGGTTTTGCAAAGGCAGTTTTCTTATTTTTTTAATCATATACACTCTTTAAAGAGGGTAATCAGTCATGACCACCTCAGGGATTTCTTCATCTGTGCCTAGTGTCTGTATTACAGTTTGGATCTTCATTCTCCAGGTTCTACATGTTTGAGAACAACTGTAAAGAAGGTTCTAACTTCCAGCCTCACAGGCATTTGTTCCTCAGGTGGGGTATTTTTGTAATATTTTGATAATTATTTGAATAGATGGAGTCTAGAAATGCTCCTTTAGTCTTTCCAACAATTTTGTAAGCAACAGATAACCTGCAGTGATTTCCTTCCTCCTTAAAATATTAAACTAACATTTGTTGCTGTAAATTTTAATAACGCAATATTTGTTATTGGTTATCATTGCAGAAAACATATTTAAGGGTGCCCATATGGAATAGATTATCTGCTCTTTTAGCATTTGAAGGCATTGCTGGGCTTATAACCTTTGGATAAAAAGGAATAATTGAATTTCAGGACAAGTAGTAGCAAAACAGTTATTTGTTGAAAGAGTACAGTTGAAGATTTTTATATCATGGACTTATATAAAACAATGCCCACCAAAACTTGGATATACAATTACTTCCAAATGCTTGTAGGAAATTATGTTCCAAAAGCATTCATTCTGGAAACTTATTGTCCTTATCTGAAAAGAAAGGACAATATTACATGTGAAAATGTGGTCAAAATTGCATACACAGCAAAATTAAAGGCATGAGATTTTATGAACATCTGTAAGGCAATAAATTTGAAATGAAGATAAAATATTCTCAGAAATATATAACTTTTAAAATTTATACTAAATATAAACAAAATTTGAATAGATCTGCAACCTTTAAAATAGTTGACTTGTTAATTTTAAATTTTCTTGTTGTGGCTATAATATTATACTATTAAGTCCAGCTGAAACATTCAAGCTACATTTACCTTTAAAATTATAGAAACTCTTCCACAAAATAGAAATTGGGCAACCCACTACAATTTCATGTTTCTAGTGAAAGCTTTTTGCCTGCATAAACCAGAACTTTATGCTTAAGAAAATTATAGATCAATATCACTTTGACTGTACTTTGAGATAGTGGTAAGTAAAATGTTAAATCACTGAAACAGTGTGTAAAGCTAAGGTTATGACATAAATGGCTTTGCTTCATCTGTGCAAAATACTTTTATTGCACAGTTCTTCCTTTCCATCTTGCCTTTTACAAAATTGTTCAGTTCTCACTTCCAGTTTTTTTTTTTTTTAAATCATATGGTTCCCTAGGTATGAAAATGCACTCCAGTATTATCACCTTGCAGGAGCTATGAGATTTCTTGCCCTCAGTCACAGATGGTTTATTTACCTTGCCTCACGATTGAAGCTAGTCATTAAGAATTTCTAATTACCCAAGGAGTTCCATGCCAATCCCTCTGCTTTGTCAGTGATAAAATCTGCAGCTCTCTCATCCCCACACCAGAAACAGAAGATAAATGGTGAGAGATGCAACAAAGAAATTTTATAAAATGTAAACTGTGGTCTAAGCCAAAGCACAGAATACTATGTAGTCATTAAAAGATACACTTTAAAGAATACATGACTCTGTTACAGAAGCAGAATATAAAGTAGCCAGTACAGTTTGCTCTCTCATTCTGTCTGTCATTTGAAAAAATCTCTCTCCTTTTTTTACTTTCTTTCTTTTTTTTTTAAGGAAGGATCTTGCTCTGTCAACCATGCTAGAGTACAGTGGCATGATCACAGCTCACTGCAGTCTTGACCTTCAGAGCCCAAGTGACCCTCCCTCTTTAGCCTCCCAAGTATCTGGGACTACAGGGATGGATCACCACACCTAACTAAATATGTAACTTTTTTGTAGAGATGGGGTCTAGCTATGTTGCTCAGTCTGTTCTCAGATGATCTTGCTTCTGCCTCTCATAGTGCTGGGATTACAGGTGTGAGCTACTGTGCCCAGCCTCCTCCTCTTTTCAGAGATCTTTCTATGCAAGCATGAACAGGAATTATCTCCAGGTAGTGAGATGTGAGGTAACTACCATTTTTCTGTTTATATTTCCCTAAATTTAAAAAAGTTCTGAAATATAACAATATTTCAAAATGTATTATAACATATAATGATAATATTCACTTTAGAAAATGTTTAAGTTCACTCCCAATGACATACTGGAGTTGACTCTACCAATATGGTGGTTGATATGGTGAGGCTTTTTGTCCCCACCCAAATCTCATCTTGAATTGTAATCTCCATAATCCCCATAATCCCCATGTGTCAAGGAAGACACCAGGTGGAGGTAATTGAATCATGGGGACAGTTTCCCCTATGCTGTTCTCTTGATAGTGAGTAAGTTCTCACGAGATCTCATGGTTTTATAAGTGTTTGGTAGTTCCTCCTATGTTCATTCTCCTTCCTGCCGCCTTATGAAGAAGGTAAGATTCCCCTTTGTCTTCCATCATAATTGTAAGTTTCCTAAGGCCTCCCTAGTCATGCTGAACTGTGAGTCAATTAAATCTCTTTCTCTTATATATTACTCAGTGTTTGGGCAGTTCTTTATAGCACCACTAATGCAATGGTGAAGTTGAACTTTTAGGTGATTTCCTAAACAAGCTTTATTTCATGCTAAATTATTTTCCTTAATCTCTTTAGTCAATCAAGTACTTCACCAATCTATTTATTTACTTATTTAACCAAACTCATTAGAAGTTTCTGAGCTATGAAGCCATTAATTACATCTACTCAGAATAGCAATGACTTTGTCTGAATTTGATTTTAGTATCACATGGAACGGAGGATGGTCAGTGAGTCTAACAAAACGCAGGCTTCATCCAACATTTGGAATATGATAGTCACTCTATTCTAATTATGGCATGACTGCTCTATGGGGTTTTTCATCCTTTGAGTAGTATGAGCTGCAATTCGCTGTATTTTAGAATGTCTTTAAGACACTTTGCCAGTCATGGAGTGATACTGCTGTTATTCGTGAGGCATTCATTTCATTATTGTGGAAATAAATGAAGACCACTGAAATGAGGACAAAGAGAGAATGTTTATTCCAGGTTTGCTAGAGCAAGGGAGGCACCCATCATCACTTGCATATGGTATTCAAAGGCAGGCAGAGAAGGCGGAAAGTTTTATAGTGTGAAAACAAAAGGCCCCCGGTGTGCCCTCATTGGAGGTTGCTAGTGTTGGGAAGCCCTAGGTGGCTCACAAGAAAATGAAGCATCCTGTGTGATTGGTTGGAGGTCCATATCTGGCTTTCTGTGTTTCGTCGTGCTTGAGGAGCAGGGGAGGAAACTAGGGAAGCTGTCAGTCATTAATCAAGTCCTGGTGGTTTGGGGCTGCTACAGAGATGATAGTTAAAATCAGCTCCTCAGAAATGGATGATGTTGAACTTTGCAGACTGATCACTGCAGATTGCAGTTCAGAATTCTTTTTTATATATGGTCAGGACATGGTCTGAATATTCAGTGTCTTCATTTTAAAGTGCAAAGTTCCACTGATGTAGGAAGAAGACATGTACACTGCAAAGTGCTTTGAGTGGCATCATCACAACACAGCTATGATGCACTGGCATTCTTTCTGGGACTGTGTTTTTATAGTCAGGGCTGAGATATTAATATGGAATCATTTCATGGCCACACGCTGCAGTAATCTATCTCCAAATATAGTACTGGGTCTGCTTATATCAGACATGATTTGGATGCTTAGAGAATTACAGATTTCTGGCCCTAATATTGGAAGGGTTCCATCATACTTGCATACCTCCATTTATTACTATATAAACTGCTTGAGACACAACGCTATTATGAACTAGGCTCTAAAATTCAGCTATTAATACTAGTTCCCCAAATATAGTTCTATCATTTACTAAAAGGCAGATATTCCAAAATTTTTTTTATTTTTTATTTTTTTGAGTCAGAGTCTTGCTTTGCCACCCAGGCTGTAGTTCAGTGGCACAATCTCGGCTCACAGCAACCTCCACCTCCTGGGTTCAAGCGATTCTCTTGCCTCAGCCTCCTGAGTAGCTAGGATTACTGGTGCACACCACCATGCCCAGATAATTTGTATGTTTTTAGTAGAGATGGGGGCTTCACCATGTTGGTCAAGCTGGTCTCGAACTCCTGACCTCAAGTGATCAACCTGCCTCAGCCTCCCAAAGTGATGGGATTACAGGCATGAGCCACCTTGCCCAGCCTTCTTCTTAAA
Source organism: Homo sapiens (assembly GCF_000001405.40). Classification (NCBI taxonomy): domain Eukaryota; kingdom Metazoa; phylum Chordata; class Mammalia; order Primates; family Hominidae; genus Homo; species Homo sapiens. The sequence continues at coordinate 117,088 of NW_017363820.1, forward strand.
TGTTTTAAAGCTGTCTTAGGATCTATCCCCTGTTATGAAAAATGGAGAAAATAATACTACTTAGTTTTTTTAGAATCCTTTTGAGGATTAAATGACATATGTGTTATAATTAGAATCATTTGATAATTCAATATTGTAAAATGCTGAATTTCATTTTCACAAAGGGAAAATGCAATATAGTTATAAGAAAAATTCCCTGTAAAAATATTTTATTGATTATTGGTCAAAAACAATAAAGGCTCAATGTAGAAAAAGAAAAGCATGGGAAAATATAACTAAGCAATATATTCATTTGTAACACATAACATAGTATTTAGCCATTGCTAATATTTCACTGCATTTTCTTTCATATGTTTCTACCTACATGGAGATGCACACATACAATTGTAGATAACACTGCAGGAGGATGGTCCTGTATCATATCCACTGGCCATGCAAGTCTATTGTCTCTCCACGTAGAATCAGTTTCCATCCAAGGCTGTCTCAAAAAAAAAAAAAAAAGAATCAGATTCCATTGTCATTCAAGGTGCAAACTGACTCCTTGAAGACAAACACATCACACTGCTAGAAGACAGAGCTAAAATATGGATGACTACGATAAAATAGGAATGAATGAGGCCCACATCTTTGTTACACAGCCTCTCTCTCTCTCTTTCTCTTTGCGTGTGTGTGTGTCTTTCCATTTGCTTTGCTTCTTTTGGTTTTTACGAATTAGTACCTCATGATCGACTCTTTGCTTCTACTTTGAAAGTCATATGGCATCAAAAGAAACTTATTGGGGAGGACTATCAGGACAGTTTGCTCACAAGTTCATCTATTTTTGGCCAAAGAGGATAGCACCCATCACATGAGGTCCAGCTCAGTTCAGGAAGGAAGGAGAGATACTTGTAGTCCACAACCTAGAAAGTGTGAAGATGGCTTTGTCTAAAACAGAATCCATACTACTCATTTCTTCCAGAGGTTCTAGTAATTTGGTCCCAGCCATGGTTGGATTTTATCATCTGAGATGTTGGTCATGTCTTTTTTTTTTTCAGTTCTAACAATTAATTATATGTTGATTGTTTTGTTTCAATCAGCAAAATTTCCACTGTATGGGGCATATTCTGAGTATAGGCAGTTCTATCTTGGCTTTAGACCATTAGAGTAACACCGTAATTAATATCACTAGCTTAGATTATTTTAGATCCCAAGGCAGGGGCTATTCCCAGTCTCAGGGTTTTTTGGTATTCTTTCTCTTTGGAAGCCTAAAGAACATGAAGAGGCAGTGACCGACCAAGCTCTGTTACTCATGGGGAGACAAGATGAAACAAACTCCATTATTCCAAAGAAATTAAGCATGAAGAGGAGAAGATCCAAGAACAGTTCTATTTTTAGTTCTTTGAGAAATCTTCATACTATTTTCTGTAGAAGTTGTGCTAATTTACATTCCCACCAACTGTGTATATATGTTCCCTTTTCTTCACAGCCTCATCAGCGTTTGTTGGTTTTTTTCCTGGAAAACAATTTACCTTGCTTTTAGTGTTGCAATTATTTTAATACAATGTGTTATTCTTGCTTTATTATGTTTTATTTTATATCTCTACATCATAGAAATTAATAGGAATGCATCCTCAGGTATCTGCAGTTTCCATTTTCCACGTTTCCCCCCTGACACCTCTCAAGAGTGTTCAATTGCCTATGTAATGTATTCACTTACTATGTTCATTATCTATTGTCTATCTCCCACTTGTAAAGTATAAAATGTTAAGTGTAAAGTGGTTTTTCCCACTCTGGTCATTGTTGAATGAACGACTATTCAGTTCTGAAAATATGGTTCATATGACACATTTCAATTATGTTCATTATAATATCTGTGAATAAACCATACAAGAATATGATCAAGCTAGCTAAGAAAATGTAGCAGACGTTGGAATTTGTTTTTAAGTGGAGGCATGTCTTATGCCAGCTAAAATGTTTTCCTGTTAGGGAAAACACCCAGGAAATAATGATCATTGGTTTTCTAGTGAAAAAATTAACTTTATTTAAAGTTCCATTCCATTAAGCCAGCATGTTGCTTCATTGGAGTGAGAGAAATATGACTTTTTTCAGGGCAGAATTTCCAGTAGGCCTTTTTAAAGAAATACCTACTTTAGTGCAGCATTCATGATCTCACATTTTTTAGAAGATTATTTCCAAATGTATAACTTTCTTTTACTGCTTCTACTCAACCAAAAATGTACATTAAAAGACACATTTTTCTGGGACACCTGTCCACATTTCCCATAGCCTTCGCTGAAGCATAAATTTATAGGAATGAAAAAACCCTCTTACCAGGGAAGCCTGGATTGGTAGGAAAGCATAGGATATTTCTGCTATTTATAGAAGAAAGAGCTTTCTCACAAGACAATTAGCAAATGTAAATATTTGCTTGTGTAAATTGTCTGACCTTTCATTTAGTCTTGGGGCCTAGATCTTTGAGTCTGAGTAGACTACCTGAAGAAATATGGATTTTATCTAAGCAGGAATTTAGACTTCCACCTTCTACCCTTCCATGCAGTTATATATACATATACATATATATATGTATATATATGTATAAATTGTATACATCATCTACAAGTACCATTTATATTTATTATTAACATTTAAAGATGTATTTAGAAATCTTATTTTTGCATTTTTCATAGTCATAAGAATACAATACTTGAGGCTGGGTATGGTGACTCATGTCTGTAATCCCAGCACTTTGGGAGGCCAAGGCGGGTGGATCACCTGAGGTCAGGAGTTCGAGACCAGCCTGGCCAACATGGCAAAACTCTGTCTCTACTAAAAATACAAAAAATAAGCCAGGTATGGTGGCAGGTGCCTGTAATCCCAGCTACTTGGGAGGCTGAGGCAGGAGAATCGCTTGAACCCAGGAGGCAGAGGTTGCAGTGAGCCGAGATCGCGCCACTACACTCTAGCCTGGGCAACAAGAGCAAAACTCTGTCTCAAAGACAAACAAACAAACAAAAAGAATACAATAGTTGTCTGTCTAACAAACTGATAAAGAACCGAGGTTTTTTGTTTTTTGTTTTTTTAATAAAGTGAGAATAACCTACACACAGTAAGGAAAGCAGGTTGTATGGAAATCCATTAATGCTAGAATAGAATATGAAAGTTTTACTAACTAAAGTTAAAATGTAAACTTCCCAAAGCTAACACAGCTCGCTTCATGTCTAAAATTATAAAGTTCAGGGAGTGATCTTTATCATCTTCTGACTTGCCAGGGGGGAAATAAAAGAATTACATAAGAAAGAGTTCAAAGTGTAATGAGGTCATCCTCAAAAAATATTTTTCAGGCTAAACTTCAAGACATTCTTCAAGGTAAGATCTATTTGAGTGTGAAATTGCTTCCCAAGGGGCAGTGGAGAGAAGAGACCTAAATGATGTCATTTAAAACCATTGGAACTAGCCCTGGAGAGAAACCACTCTTAGGGACTAATGGTCACTTATGTAAGGAACGTTCCTGTTCTCCAATGCTGTGATTATCAAATCCCAAGCGTTTGACTATTAAACTGTGTAGAAAGTGCAGCATCAATGAGTTGCATTCAATAGCACAGAGGACAGATTGCTGGGTAACTTTTTCTAAACGTTTGAAATTGAAAGAGAAAACATAAAGGATGACCATTTTCTTTTTTTTGTTTGTTTCATTTATTTACTTTATATATATTTTTTATACTTTAAGTTTTAGGGTACATGTGCACAAAGTGCAGGTGTGTTACATATGTATACTTGTGCCATGTTGGTGTGCTGCACCCAATAACTCGCCATTTACATTAGGTATATCTCCTAATGCTATCCCTCCCCCCTCCCCCCACCATTTTCTAATCACCAATGGCAAATCAGATTCATTTGTTCCAATTAGTACTCCTGAGTGTTTTAACGTCTGGATTTCTATCGTTTCTGGGATTGTCCACTATCTGGGAAGTCAACTGGAATCGTTTCACGTTTCAGTCTATCCACTGGGCTATTGGCTATGGGTGTTGTCTAATTTTCCACTGTCAGGTTAAGAACCAAAAAAGAGATTGAGATCGTCCTAACGACTTGTAGGTGGTGATGGTGTGTGGCATCTAGTCCCCTCCCCTAGTGTCTCCCTTCAACCTGGCTGCATTTAGTTTTGCAATCATTTCTAAAATATTAGTCTTTTGCTATAGATTGTTAATTATTTGAAACCCAAGTTACCACTTAGATCTATTGTATCTTTAAATCATTTGGGAAAAATAAAATTACTCTAAGACTTCATAAAAAGATTTCTTTTTCTCCAAAATGTTCTCTGCTTCCTAAAAGCTCCATCATTTTCTGGAATTTTTAAGGGTGAATAGGAATGACAATCAAGTGTAAGACAAACTCAGGTGTAGTGTATTTCCTTAGTAAGGGCTTTCTGAGAAAGAACATAATGAGAGAAAAGAAATTGGCCTAATTGCACTAATTGACTACATCCAGGTGGGGACTCTCATATTGCTTTGTTGGGTTTCCATAGGTAGAGAGCAACGATATCATCAATTTTAAATGTTAAATAAGCCCATTATTCATTACACACATACATACTCTTACAGCATTTTTCTTGCTGTTATTCATGTATTTTAGTGATTTTCTGACTGATCTGATCTATAGATAAGACTGTGTATAGATACAAGCTCTCCAGCATTAATTTGAATGTCATGAGTTTTCTTTGAGTTTAGATATATTTATTAATACTTCTCTTCTCCATGCAATGTCATTCAAAAATGTACTTATTGGTGATCTCAGGAAGAGAAAAAAAAGGTTCCTGTTATAAGTTATACAAAATAAATTGTGAGACTCTTAAAACATGAGGAAAAACTATCTTGGTTTAAAATAGAATAAGAAAACCTGAATTGTTAATAAAAATAAAGGCTTCTTAAATAGATCTGTTAACCAAATCACATGGCCTGATGATGCCAAAGGAAGAAAGTAAGCTAATGACATAAAGTTAAAACAAATAGGTCACTGAGTAAGCTTAAACACTGGTCAATACGTGTAGTCCCAGCTCGGGAGGCTGAAGCGGGAGAATGGCATGAACCTGGGAGGTGGAGCTTGCAGTGAGCCAAGATAGCACCACTGCACTCCAGCCTGGGCGACAGAGTGAGACTCTTTCTCAAAAAAAAAAAAAAAAGGTCAATACAGAGAAAGTTGGGGAGAAGTGGGGATGGCCAATGGGTACAAAAAAATAGAATGAATAAGATCTTGTATTTGATAACACAACAGGGTGACTGTAGTCAATCACAATTTAATTGTACATTTTAAAATAACTAAAAGAATATAATTGAATTGTTCATAACACGAAGGATAAATGCTTCAGGGGATGGATACCCCATTTACCATGATGTGATTATTATACATTGTATGCCTGTATCAAAATATCTCCTATACCCCACAGATATATACATCTGTATACCCACAAAAAATAAAAATAAAAAAGTAAATACAAAAACATTTAGATAGTAAAATTATGAGTAAATATATTTTTTTCATAATTTTAAAGCTCTGGATAGAGGAAACAGAGTATATTTTTTTCATAATTTTAAAGCTCTGGATAGAGGAAACAGGGTGAAAATGTCATGTGATAAAAACAAGTTTCATATAATCCTTTGAATATGATGGAAATAACTTTGGAATAGTTACAAAACCTGGAGTACAAGTCAATTCAAGCATATGCTTAATCTCTGTCACCTTTTTCTAGGCTATTGCAATAGGGAACATAGTGAAATCACCCCTGTCTTCAAAGCTGATCCCACTGTGTTCCCTTCTCCATTAAGTTTTTAAAGCATATGTAAGAGTACATTACTTCCTACCACTCCAACTATCTACCCAACTTAAAACCCTCTAATTATCTAACACTGGTTATCACCCAGAATAAAAATCCAAGGATTTTTTAAATTGGGCTTTATAACATGCATCATTTGGCCCCTGCACAATAATGAGCTCATCTTATCAGAGTTGCTCTTGGACAAGAATATAGTGGTCTTCCTTCTTTTAGGGAAGGAGCCTAGGAGAGCCAGAGTAATGTCATATTAATAGTACTCCTCCATCTTAAGACTAACAAGGAACATTCCTTGCTAGTCATGACCCATGGTCTTAAGATATTTATGGCTAAGAAAACAGCTTGGTAGTGCCAGCGAGAACAAACTCCCTCGACAGAAAGTTCAGATGTCTCAAAACCCATAACAATATATGCTTTCAAGATTATTATAGTTATGCTTTGCTGTAGTTACATGCGAAAATGTCAAGGATAGTTTTCTTTAAATCAATAGGATAATACATTTTGTCATGCTGTCAGCCCACCTGCATGTAAGCACAGCTTAGATTTTCTTTGCATAGGCAAGACCTCTAGATAAGAAAAACTTAAAACAAAGACAGGACATTCCTCCACTTGTTTGCTGAAGACGCCTTATTCTGTAATGCAGTAGCTTTTAATAAGTTATTTCTTCTCACTGCACTCTGTTACTCACCTTGAATTCCTCTCTGCATGAGATTCAAGAACTCTCTCTGGGAGTCTGGATTGGGACTCCTTTTCTGGTAATGCTTCTACTTTTGGAAAACCCCCATCATCTGCTGTCATCTTCCTTTCAAATTTCATGATTTAAGAATTTCAGCTCAAATGTCACCTTCTCAGACGTGCTTTGCCTGACTATCTATTACGGAGTAACCCTTGCAGTCAATATCCCATTATACTCTCCTGTGTCTCTGCTACTCTCTGAAATCATCTTGTTTGTTTCCCAGCTGCACATCTAACCTGCATGAGAGTGGAGAGATTAAGAAGTATCTGTCGAATCATTCAAAAGTACATGCATAAAACATTGAAGATAGTATTTTGATTGAGATTGGATAATTGTGTCTTTCAAGAAATTGCTCAGTTTCACCTAAGTTTTTGAAGTACGAGATTTTTTGTAGTATTCTCTTGATTCTATGTTAATATCTGGTGGATCCTTAGTGATGTCCCCTCTTTTCTTTCTGATAGTGATTTGTTTGTATTATTTTGTTATTGTTTCCTCATTGGTAATATTACATGGATGATTAACCATTTAACTGTTTTAGTTTTTTTATAGTGTCAATCTTTTAATATTATCTTTTTGCTTTTGTGTTTTGTTTATGTTTTTAATTTCTTTGATTTTTTGCTTTTCTAATTATTGTTTCTTTCCATTTGTTTGCTTTCTGTGTAATTGTTCTTCTTTCTCCAGTTTATATAGGTGAGATCTTAGCTTGCAGAATAGAAATTTTTTTTTCTGCCATGAATGTTCTCACACTGCTATAAAGAGCTACTTGAGACTGGATAATTTATAAAACAAAGAGGTTTGATGGGTGCTTGGTTCTGCAGGCTGTACAGGAAGCATGGCTGGAGAGGCCTTGGGAAACTTATAATCATGGTAGAAAGTGAAGGGGAAGCAGGCACATCCTACGTGCCTAGAGCAGGAGGAAGACAGGGAGGGAGGGTGGTGCTACACACTTTTAAACAACCAGATCTCCTGATAACTCACTCACTATCACATGAACAACAAGGGGGAAATCCACTTCCATGATCCAAACACCTCCCACTGGAACCATCTTTCAACACTGGGGGTTACAATTCAACATGAGATTTGGGCGGCGACACAAATCCTTACCATATCAGTGTGTGTGTGTATGTGTGTTTGTGTCTGTCTGGTGTTACAAAACAAACTAAACATGAGAATGATAACTTAATTAGAATCTCTATGATATTTTAGACATCCAATATTTTAACAGAAAAATACTACATGCAAATCATCTGTCATTAATGCCAACATTTGCCATCTGGTTGCTGGATTTATTTCTGCTATATAGTCTGGTATATAGCAAAGGCATATATTGCAGAAAGATAAGTAGCACCCTTCCTGAATACTTCATGTGACCTATTCCTTAAATCTTATGCTCTCCTGACTAGGGGCTGCCAAAAATGCCTGATATCTTCTTTCTCGTTCATCTTGACTTTTTTTTTTGAGACAGCATCTCACTCTGTCACCCAGGCTGTAGTGCAGTGGCATGACCTCGGCTCACTGCCACCTCTGCCTCCTGGGTTCTAGCTATTCTCATGCCTCAGCGTCCCTGGGACTACAGGCTCATACCACCATGCCTAGCTATTTTTTTGTATTTTTAGTAGAGAGGGGATTTCACCATGTAGGCCATGCTGGTCTTGAACTCCTGACCTCAAGTGATCCACCCACCTGGGCCTCTCAAATTACTGGGATTACAGGCTTGAGCCACCACACCAGGCCCATCTTGATTTTTTTTTTTTTCTTTGAAATGGACTCTTGCTCTGTCACCCCGGCTGGAGTGCAGTGGTGCAATCTCGACTCACTGCAACCTCCACCTCCCGGGTTCAAACGATTCTCCTGCCTCAGCCTCCCGAGTAGCTGGGACTACAGGCGCCTGCCACCATGCTCGGCTAATTTTTGTATTTTTAGTAGAGACGGGATTTCACCATGTTGGCCAGGATGGTCTCAATTTCCTGACCTTGTGATCCACCCACCTCTGCCTCCCAAAGTGCTGGGATTACAGGCATGAGCCACCACGCCAGGCCCTCATCTTGATTTTTAAGTAAATATAATTGTGTGTTTTCTTGTATAATTTACATCATTTGTAAATTTAATTTTTACTCACTACAGTAATATCTATTGGATATTTGTTATGTGCCCAACATGCATAAACCATTTATCTATATTATGTTATTTATTTCTCACAACAATCCTTTGTATACATTAATTACTTTCCGCATATTCTGACATAGGAAAATGAGGTGATTAAATAATGTGTCCACATCATAATACATAAAAGCAGGGTGAATTGGGAGTGCAACTTGCACCTAAGCCATTGATCATGACATGAAAGGCAGGGAGAGAATAGCTAGGGGTAATAGTCTGGATTCAGCATGATAAATTAGCTAGTAGAAATTCCTGTTGAGAATAAAAGACGTATACTGTGGATGTGGTCTGGGAACAAAGAGACGATGACTGAACACAATTCATTGCAAAGAGATGCCGGTGAGGTATTTCAACTGCATTAGGTGGCTTTTCCTGAACTTCCCATCACTGCTGGCAACTTTTATGTCTCTAATTTGTTACTAATGCACTTACTGTGTATCTATATCGACATAATGCACAAATTATCCAAAATGCATGTTAGACATCTTCCCACTGACAACACTCCAAATTAATGGCCAAATCTCTGTCTTCCTAAAATAAGCTACAGTTGTCTAACTTTTTATAATTAGCTTTACAAGAATAAGTTTTCTTTTTCTGATTTCTCCACTTTTTCTGATTTTTTCATTTTTCTAAGCTTCTCTTTTGAGCTCTTCAAAATAAAAAAAATGTGTTCTTGCTTTACTTTTCCTTCCTTAATGTGTCTATATCAGGATACTTTCTTCTTATTATTACTATTAAGATTAGTGTTTCAATTCCCAATGCAAAAAATTAATATGAAGAATGAAGTTAATCTTTTAAAATTAGTTCATAAAAATGTTTAAAAAGAAAATAAAGTGGGAGAAGTTATTTCAACAGAACAATGAGACTCTGTCACTATGCCAGGCTCTGGTTAAAGTTGCAATAACTGAAAGCATTAATATCTTCAATCCAGATGAGAAAATTAAAGAGAAGAATCTAACTATAAGAGATTTGGCTGTGACAATAATGAGTTCGAATTCAAGCAAGCATGAGCAATTCTCAGAGACCATCCATCAGCTCTTTAAGTGTTAAGTGTTATAAACACAATATATTTTGACAGCAATTACATTCTCCTCCCCCCATAGTGTGTGAAAATGAACTTAGATATTGTAAAAACTGACACACTTAAGTATATATGTGTGCTTCATTCTTAGCTAAAATACTACTTTAAATATTATATTATTTTACTAGAAAATTGGAGACCTAGTAACTGTCATTTTTGTTTTTTCTTTTCATTCTATTCAACTAAAGTTAGTGGAATTCCTATTTATTTTTGTTTAATATTGAAAATGTATATGAGAGCATAAAACTCAGCTTGTTCTTTGAACGATATGAACACGATTTAAATAGACTAAAACTTTTTCATCTGCACTGAAATGTAAAATACATTGTTTTCATACATTTAAATACCTTCAGGCATACAGTGGAAGATAATTTGGGGCAAAGCACTATTTGTTTGCTGACTCCAAAGAGTGATGAACATTCTTTACTGGTGATGAATAATGACAGAATGACTAACAATAAATGATATGTTGAATTTCATCAACTGAAATGACTCTAAGTCGTTACTCACAGTTTCATTTATAAAATTCTGATTTGAGATTTAGGTAATATTATTATTACGATTACGTTTTGATAATTTAATCATAGCATTTGAGATACTAGAAATGCCATTAAAATTTTGTGCAGTCACTAAGTGTGTAAAATAATGTTGGAATTTAAATAAAAATAAAGAAATCTAGATTTAGGAAAATGATACCTATTATGAGTTAGTTAAATGTTTTTGATCACAGTGAAGGGGGACTAGGTTGGAAATAAATAAGAGTAAAGAAAATAAGTAGGTGGACAAATAGATAAATGGATGTATTTATGTATTGACAGACAGATATGTTAAATATATAGATAACTGGTAAGTTGATAAGCAGATATGTAGATGGATATATATATAGAGAAAGACAAACATAGACAGATAATAGATGATAGATATATAGATAGACACATACATACATACATAGATCTATAGATACATAAATACATAGATACATAGGCACATAGATAGATGAGAGATATGATGATTAAGTAGATAGATATGATAGGTGATAGCCAGCTAGCTAGGTTAATGGGTTGATAGATAGAAAAATGGACAGAGAGATCTAAAGATGGATAGAAAATTGATAGATGAGATAGATAATAGATATGATGGATGAATAGATAGATATAATAGATGGATAGCTAGATAGATTTATATTTAAAGAGGATAAATGGATAGATAGAATAGTGAATAGATAGGTATGATGTTTAGATCGATGATAGAGAACCAGACTTAGGTAGATAATAGAGAGATAGGTAGATAGATAGACAGACAGATGGATAGATAGATAGATAGATAGATAGATAGATAGATAGATAGATAGATAGATAGATATAGGGATTGATAGATTGAGAGATAGGCAGATAGAATATCTTTACCTAATCTACTTTTTGCTGATTTTCTTGCCTCTTCCAGTAAAATATGGTCTCCGTAAATGACAGAATTATGCCTGTTTATTCACATCCATACTCGCAGACCGTATGGCAGTGCCTGAGAATAGTTGATGCTCAGTAAATACTTGTGAAATAGTTTAGTATATGGTAATCAAGAGTTAGTCAACAAGAGATTGAGGGGTATTTGTGTCCCCTCAGAGTATAGACACAACAAAGTGCAAATTTCAAAAGCTGTAGCAATTTGACACATCTCCCAAATGCTAAGTACACTGAAGCAAAATGAAGAAAGTTACGGGGAATATTTTTGCATAAAGCTCTAAAGAGCAGGAGATTGAGCACAGAGCCAGGACTCCTAAATATTTTCGGTCACCTGTTCCTTAGTCTTGAGGGGTAAAAATAATAGGAAGAAGAAAACTGAGACATGGAATCTCAGGAAGGATCTGGAGCCTGGGAAGGACTTGAAGAACCTGGAAGATACTCTATATTTGAATACAAAATTCAACCAACAACGCTGAAGGAGAGCAGGAGCCATATACAGTATTTAACAAAGCACCAGAAGAGAGCCATTGCCCATCTGTGCCCAGCGTATGGTGCACACTTATCTTTTGGTGGACTCTCCTTTCATTGTGTTGGATCTATCCCTAGGAATGGAACTTCTGAGTCCTAAGAAAGATGTTTGTTTCACATCCATAGAGATTGGCAGTGTCCCAAACTAATAGGATCTTTTTTTTCCCTCCTTTTGTCAATTTCCCTTCTTTATTTTCCTTTTGCTTTCACTCTTATTTGATGATTCTTATCATTCATTGCTCTTTCAGGCAACTCCTAAGATAACCTTAGGTTTTTTTTATCCGTCTGCTCCTGTGTCTTCTACCATTCCCAATGTAATTCTCTAAACACATAAGCGATGCTGACTATTTTGTTTACTCTGGCATTTTCAGAATGAAAGGAAAATGGGAAAGTGAAGTTCCAACTTTGGAACAAAGGTAACTTTGATGAAAATGATGCTCATATTTCATGGCATTCAGCTATATATAGAAAAACTTTTCTCCTTTTTTCTCTCTTTCTTCCTTTCTTTCCTTCCCTTTCCTTTGTTTCTTCCTTCATTCCTTTCTCTTCTTCTTTCCTTCCCTTTCCTTTGTTTCTTCCTTCATTCCTTTCTCTTTTCCTTCCTTCCTTTCTTTTCTTTTTGCTTCCTTTCTTTCTTTTCTTTTCTTTTCCCTTCCCCTCCCCTCCCCTTCCTTCCTTCCTTTCTTCCTTCCTTCCTTCTTTATTCCTTTCTTTGCACAGGATCTCACTCTGTCACCCAGGCTGGCATACAGTGGTGAGATTATAGCTCACTACAGCCTCAACCTCCTGGGCCCAAGTTATCATCCTGCCTCAGCCTCCTGAGTAGGTGGGATTACAGGGACACATCATCACTCCTGGCTAATTTTTATTTTTTTACTTTTTGTAGAGATGGGGTTTTGATAATGTCGCCCAGGTTCTCCTGCCTCAGCCTCCCAAATTTCTGGGATTACAGGCATGAGTCACCACACTCAGTAAAAATTTTCTTACTGTGAAAAACATGACTCTTTGCCTGGTAATTTTCTTTGTTCTTGTTTCATTGTTGTGTTTTTGTTTGTTTGTTTTGTGTTTTGTTTTGTTGTTTTTTGAGACAGAGTCTTGCTCAGTCACCCAGGCTGGAGTACAGTGGCATGATCTTGGCTCACTGCAAACTCCACCCCCTGGGCTCAAGCGATTCTCCTGCCTCAGCCTCCTGAGTAGCTGGGATTACAGGTGTGTGCCACCATGCCAGGCTAATTTTTGTATTTTTAGTAGAGACGGGGTTTCTCCATGTTGGCCAGGCTGGTCTCGAACCCCTGGCCCCAAGTGATCTGCCTGCCTCAGCCTCCCAATGTGCTGGGATTACAGGCATGAGCCACCACGCCCAGGCTGTTGTTGTGTTGTTGTTTTCCTGGCCAGCATAGCATGGTTGACCACAGAATGGGCAAGCCTGAAGCCACCCAGGCAATTAATGTCGTGGAAACAGCCCTCCATCAATGACAGAGAGTTGGTAGATATACACCCCTAACTCCTTTGCTGCTCAGTTGAGTTAATTCCAAAACTCATTTACACTGGATTCCAGAGTTTCACAGACAGACTGTTCCCCACTTACCCCAAGTGGATAAGAACATGAAAATGGACCTATTATTGACTTCACTTGAGCTCCTGTGTCCCTCCACTACAGCACTGATGATGTTTCCTGGAGTGATTTTTCAAACTACTTCTAAAAGAGATGCCTTGACTCAGGACAGTTTTCTGGGAAAACTAAACTATGACTTTTCCACAAAATTCTTACTTTTCTATATTACCATTGACGAAAATAAACATCTCTCTTTGATTTAAGCATGCTTTGTAGAAAATTTTTAGAAATATTCTATATCTGACTCATTCATGTAAGCAGCAAAATATTGCTTTGTGTTCTTTCTGATTTCTCCAAATTTTAGTTAGGAACATGGGAAATAGTGGTTTCTAACTTTAGGGAGATGCATTCAGTAAAATAATCATAAATTTAAAATGAAAAAGCATGAACAAGTACCTATTTGCAATCTCAGCACACAAATATTAATTTTTTATGCAAGGTATTCAACACTTTCTTATGAAATAGATTTTGTGTTAGATGATTTTGTCCAACTGTAGGCTAATGTAAGTGTTCTGATAACATTTAAGGTAGGCTAGGCTACGCTCTGATGTTTAGTGCAGTAGGTGTAACACATATGGTTGAGGACATATTTCATGCAATTATAGGAAGATGGCAGTGTCTTTACAGAAATATCTTGGAGAATTTTCTTGAAAACATGTTTAGTTCCGTGTTAAGGAAACAGAGTGTTGGGAAGAAAAAGAAATAAGGTCTGTTGATTACTTGCCTTGGTCAAGTGTTGGTATTTACATTTTGCATTGATAAATACATGCACGCACATGCCACTGTCATTGCATAATCAAAAGAGAATAGTTTATCAGCAGATGTTTGGAAAATGTTATTTACAGATGGCAGTTAAGTCCCTTCAGACTAATCGAGGTTTCCCAGAATATTGAAGTAAAAATAGAGGCAATTGTCATGAAAGAGGAGAATGTTCAAAGAAATCAAACACCAGCTTTATTCTGTAAAGCAAAATTTTAATATTAAATAGAAAATGATTTTTTTTGAACTGGGAAGGTCTACTGTGCCTATATTCCACATTTAGAAAACTATTTTAATTTCCTTGCATTTCTACAAATTTGAGGCAATGATTTCAGTTTAATTTAGAAAGGAGAGATGATGAACGGATTAATTATGCTGTGAAATAATCTTCTGGAAATTTATTTAAAGCAGCAAGCTTCCCTATAATATTTAGAATAACACTAGGCTCGACTTTTCAGAAGGGCTTTTTATTAGAACATCCTTGTACTCATCCAGAAGTGCTGTGTCATTTGCTCCAGAGTTTTGCTCTATGCCTAAATTACCAGTTCAGTTTTTCTGTCATACAGGTATGGCTGTCGGTTTACCCAGCTAACGTGTTTTGACTGTTAGTGTTTCAATTTAGTTTGAAAAACTTTCCTTTATAATGGATGCTGAATAATACTTTTTGTCATAGGTTGTTTTGCATAAAGAACATATTACTGCTTGACTTTATAAGAATAGTTACATAGAGTAATTAAACGTATTCCTCAGCAAAGAACATTTTCTGTAAGTAAGAGTCAACACAAATTGTTATTTTAATTACATTTCAGAGGTGGTACTGAACTGATATTATTTAATATGTTTGATGGGTTTAATAATGATGTTTCCTGAAATGAGGCAATATCAATTGTAAAAACATCGTTTTCACTTCGTAGTCATTAAGAAATTACCCAGCTAAGGCAGTCAGTTATATCCAATAATCTTGGGGAAAAATTCATGCATTAATTAAATCAAATGACATTCTTATCACTTTACAAATTTTTCAAAAATTTGATTTCCCTATTTCTTAAACCAGGGGTTCTCAAAGTACGGTTTCTGAACCAGCAGTATACACATTGCCTTCTGTCCTAAGTCTGTACCACTTTGTTTATCATCATTGACAAACATGCCCAATTTGAACTGCCACACCAATTAAGTTAGACAGATGCTAAAACGAGTTTGTGCATAAAAATATAGGCTTTGTAAATGAGACATTAATTATATATGCCATGGAAAATTCCACCTTCTACAAAGAAACTCATAAAAAATGATGAGTATGTGAGCTGGGGATTTGTGAATTAGCTTGATGTAATCATTCTACAGTGTAAACATACACCAACATATCATATTGTATACCATAAGTATATACAATTATTGTTTGTCAATTAAAAAGAAAATAAAGGAATGTTAGGGATTACTTTTATAATAGATTCCATCTCTGATGTTATTATATGATTTTACTGCCGCAAGTAGTAAATTGGACTGATTTGACTTTTTACTTTCTCTGTTAGATACTTAAATATAGATTATGCTGTTCTCAAAGAGCAGATCACCCTGGGACTACTCCTATGAACAACCAGAATTTTGAATTACAGAATTTTACCTTTTAGATAGATTTATAGACCAGCCCTATCACCTGGCATTGCTCACAGGAATCAGGGACCTTCAGGGAATGAATAGAATGGGAATGCAATAGAGAATGTGGGATTGGAACTCATTATTTCAAAATTGTAATGGTGTTGCATTTTGAGAAACGGCTTCTGATATGGTTTGACTGTGTGTCCTCACCCCGGGCTCATCTTGAATTGTAATCCCTGTGTATCCAGAGAGGAACCTGATGGGAGGTGATTGGATCATGGAGGTGGTTTCGCCCATGCTGTTCTCATGATAATGAGTGGGTTCTCATGACATCTGATACTTTTAAAGTGGTACTTCCCCCTTCGGTCTCTCTCTCTCTCTCCTGCCACCATGTAAGATGTGCCTTGCTTCCCCTTCACCTTCTGCCATGATTGGAAGTTTTCTGAGGCCTCCCTAGCCATGTGGAACTTTGAGTCAATTAAACCTTTTTTTCTTTATAAATTACCCAGTCTCAGGTACGGGTAGTTCTTTATATGAGTATGAAGTGGACTAGTACAGGTTCTTTGCTGTTTCCGTCTCATAAGCACACATGAATAACCCTAAGGTTCCCTACCCTGTAGAGCTGCTGGTGTGAAAACAACCTCCATATTGAATCAGCATGAGAAATGTAGAGTTTCTGATTTTACTCATGACCTCAATAAAGCTGACAGTCATTAGCACTGCTGATATTTGAAAGTAAAAAGATAGCTCAAGAAAATCAGAAACATTTTGGTTAGAGATATTAATTTTCCACTACTGCACCTATTGAAATGCATGCTTATCACAGTTATTTTCCCTGAAGTTTGTTGCTATTGTTTTGATTTTGGACTCCCAGATTCTGCAAAGGCTTTCAGATGCTCTGAGATCTTATTAATTCATTGCAATATCCCCTTACTATGGGAATGCCATTTAATCTCAGGTTTGCCTTTCTATATCTGGTGGTTAATAGAGACACAGTTCCAAAACAGATTATACCAATAGTTTGAGTCTCTAGCAACACCAAACTGGGGCTTATCCCCAAACCAGGCTTGTGCTTCATGTCTATGTTTTCACTGTTGTTTATTATTATATACCTATGACGGGATGTTCTGTCACACAAATGTCAAGCATTAAATCACTGTGAACAGCCCCATGCACTTCATGAGACCCCCTACTTCCATTGTTTATTGCCCACAATTGGGGAATTACAATGGATTGATTATCAATATTTTATGCATTCATTTGTATGTATGAAAGGTCATGTGAAATATATTCATTTGTATTTACACATTCTCGAACATCTCCCTAGAAGAACATGCTTTGGTCAGGAATGCAATGTTTCATGAATATTTCATGACCCTATGTTGAGGATATTTTTTTTAAATGAGTTAATCAGAGTTAATCAATGAACTTTAGCATAAATCGTCTTGCTTTTCCATAAATTGCTGATGAAAATAATTCCAAATAAAGCTGGAGCTCAAAATTCTTTTTCGGTTTTTTTGTTTTTGTTTTTTGTTTTTTTTTTTTGACAGAGTCTTGCTCTTGTTGCCCAGGCTGGAGTGCAGTGGCATGATCTCGGCTCACTGCTGCCTCCACCTCCTGGGTTCAAGTGATTCTCCTGCCATAGCCTCCTGAGTAGCTGGGATTACAGGTGCATGCCACCAAGCCCGGCTAATTTTTGTATTTTTAGTAGAGACAGGGTTTCACCATGTTGGCCAGGCTGGTCTCGAACTCCTGACCTCAGATGATCCACCTGCCTCAGCCTCCAAGATTTATAGGCATGAGTCACCATGCCCGGCCAGGAGCTCAAAATTCTATTCCAGTCTTGATGTTCTCATGTCTGTCTTCTGAATGCCAAGGATTATTTTATACACGGGCTTCTTCCCAAACATTATTATTGAAAACATCGGAGCCTAGAAACTTATTCTCCATGTTGTTTTGACATGCTGAAGCGAAGAATCTTCAAGGTCTCTCTGACCTCTCCCCACACCCCTCGCTGTCTCTCCCAAAGAAGCTGAAGTTCCTTTGTCTGCCTAAGATTCAGAGCCACCAAAGAGAACAGTTGTTCTTTCTACACTTCTCTACTCTCTCATTATTTACTGCAGAAAAGAAGGCCAAGGTGTGACTACACCTGAGGAGACCTTTTTATAATGACTAGCTCTAAAGATCATTTAAATTAAGTCACCCAAAAAGAAGTATTTATAGGTTAATCTCTGTTCCCCATTCAATCATACTCAATTATCCTCCCTAACAATCATTTATTTCCCTTCCACAGAATTCTTTTTCTCCCCTTCTCATAACCTCTTTGATATAGTTTGGCTGTGTCCCCACCCAAATCTCATCTTGAATTATAACTCCCATAATTCCCACCTGTTGTAGGAGGGACTGGGTGGGAGATAATTGAATCATGGGGCCAGTTTCCCCCATATTGTTCTCATGGTAGTGAAAAAGTCTCACAAGATCTGATGGTTTTACAAGGGGTAACCCCTTTGGCTTGGTTCTCATTCTCTCTTTGCCTGCTGCCACGTGAGATGTGCCTTTCACCTTCTGCCATGACTATGAGGCCTCCCCAGCCACGTGGAACTGTGAGTCTGTTAAACCTCTTTTCTTTATAATTACCCAGTCTTGGGTATATCTTTATCAGCAGCATGAGAAAAGACTAATACACTGCTCTACCAGGATCCAAGCCCCCATTCTTTCTACAACCTCAAGACTGTATTTAAGCTTCTGGACCTCCGTGGGGTTTGGGGTCTCCATTCTGAAGGCTTCCATGTACACACATTAAATAAATTTGTATGTCTTTTCTCCTATTAATCAATCTACCTCATGCTGGTGATTTTTTAGCAAACCTTTTGGGGGCCAAGAGCTTTTTTGTGGCCCACACACACACAAAAAAAACATGCTTACTGTTATCCCCAGCCCTGCCTTTGAGACCCAGATAGTGGCTTGGATTTTATTGAAGATTTGAAAAACTGAAAATGTTTATTTACATCGGAACCAAAAGTGTACAAAGGAAAGATGCTCAATGTCATTACCAATCCAGATAGAGTAATTGAAGACAACAGGACCCCAGGTATGGTTATTTTGATTTCCTTAGAATTGTGTATCCTCTGTGACCAAGAACATTTTTTTAATGGAGAAAGGACTTTATGTAAAGTACACTCATATTTCAAACAATTTATCCCCAAATGGTTTTTTGACCACATTAATCTTCCAACATTTTGCTTTAGTCGGTGCAGAAATACTAAAAGAGGATGATTTTTTATAGACTCCATCGGACATTTTTCTTTCAAGCATTCCATTTTGTTACTATAATATTTTGGTACAAAGATAAACTGTAATGAGATAACAACTACTGTTGTAAAAAAATTAATTTTAAAGATTAACAGAAACATCTTAACCCTTTGGCTAAATCTTCAGAGACAAATGTTAGAAACCATGTTTCTCAAATCAGAAAATTTGCTCTGATCAAATAGCAGTTTTTTACACAGAGAGTTAAACGAGAATATACAACCATGTGCTGAAGTTCCTGTCTAAGTCTGTTGGGGCTAGTATGACAAAATGGCATCCACTGGGTGGATTATAAGCAGCAGCAATCTATTGCTTACAGTTCTGGATACTAGAAGTTCAGGGTCAAGGTGGGACAGATTCAGTGGCTGATGGGGACCCACTTCCTGGTTCATAGAGGGCACCTTCTTGCTGTCTCATAACATTGTGGAAGGGGCAAGGGAGCTCTCTGAGGTCCATTTTACAAGGACGCTCATCCCATTCATGAGACTCCACCCTCATGACCTTATCATCTTGCAGAGACCCCAGTCCCTAATACCATCCCCTTGGGAGTGAAGGTTTCAACACAAGGATTTGAAGGGAGACAGACATTCAGTCCATATTAGTTCTGCTTATCACATTTTCCCATTGGCTTCAGTTGTTTCAATTTATTGGGAATGAATGATGCCCATGTGTGGTTTATAGGCACAACTTCCTTCACTTTAGTGCTTATGGGCGAATTTAGCTACCTCAGCTCTGGTTTTAGGGGGCAGAGTAGCATCTACTTCACAGTTTTTTGCCTTTATTATTTTTTGACATTTTTAGCTTTATTGAAGTGTAAATAAAAAATAAGAATTGCATATTGTGTTAGTCAGGGTTCCCTAGAGGAAAAGAACTAATAGGATAGATGGATACATAAAGGGGAATTTATTAAGGAGTATTGACTCACAGGATAATGACTTCACAAGGTGAAGTCCCGCAATAGGCCACCTGCAAGCTGAGGAGCAAGGAAGCCAGTCTGAGTCCCAAAACACCAAAAGTAAGGGAGCCAACAGCGCAGCTTTCAGTCTGTGGTCAGAGGTCCAAGAGTCCAAAAGCTGAATAAATTGGAGTCCAGTGTTTGAGAGTAGGAAGCATCCAGCATGGGAGAAAGATGTAGGCTGGGAGACTAAGCCAGTCTAGTCCTTCCAGGTTCTTCTGCCTGCTTTTATCCCAGCAACATGGGAAGCTGATGAGATGGTGCCCACGAAGACTGAGTGTGGGTCTGCCTCTCCCAGTCCACTGACTCAAATGTTAATCTCCTCTGACAACACCCTCACAGACCCACCCAGGATCAATACTTTGCATCCTTCAATCCAATCAAGTTGACACTCAATATTGACCGTCACACATATACTTACAGTACATGATGTTATGTTTTTATATATGTGTACTTTGTGAAATGATGTTAATGATCAAGCTAATTAACATGTCCACCACCTCACATACTTATCTGTGTGTGTGTGTGTGTGTGTATGTGGTGAGAACATCTATTCTCTTAGCAAACTTCAAGTATGTAATATAGTGTTTAGGCAGGATAGGTAGTTAAGAAAGTGACCATGTCCTGGGGATGCAGCAATCGTGGGGACTGTACAATCAACACAATAAGCCTCCGTATTGATATTGTGATTAAGCTCATTCAAGCAAACTATCTTCAGTAGGGACTTTACCCTGTACAGAGAATGCCCACTTTGATTTTACCTGTCATCAACTGACCCTTGGCTTGTTATAATAGTAAAATACGTAACCATGGGTGGAGATTTAAGATGCTAATGAGACCTGCAATGAATGAACAAGCATGTGCAGCTACTGGGCATGTGCACCCAGAGGACCACCCAGAATATGCTTACTGACAACACCTCTTCCCATCTCCTTATGAATCATCATGTAAGACTCCCATAAAGGGAGTTTCTCCAGCAATAATCAATACTGTCTCACCCTTAAGAGCAGCCCACCATGAATCCTCTCTTTCTCGGGATGTACTGTCTACTCTGCACTTAACTTTCAAAATATTCTTTTTCCTTTGCAATAAATTACTCTATGCTGTATCTCCTTTGCTGTGTGTCTCTTGTTTAAATTCTTTTAAACTAAGAAGAGAAGAACAGAGGTCTCGCAGCAGCCATCAACAGTGTTATTAACCAGAGTCACCATGCAGTACACAGATCTCCAGAATTTATTCATCGTGCAGAACTGAAACTTAGGATCCTTTGGCCAGCATCTCCCTATGTCCCCCTCCCCTCCATAATCTCCATTCTTGATTCAGTCCAGTGAAATCCACTTTGACTTCTGGTCTTCAGAAGTGTGTGTGTATGTGTGTTTGTGTGTGTGTGTGTGTGTGTGTGTGTGTGTGTGGTGAGAACATCTATTCCCTTAGCAAACTTCAAGTATGTAATATAGTGTTCAAAATGTAAGTTAATACATTTGTGTTGCTTTTAGCAACTAAGTCTGTGGTCATTTGTAAGAGGAGCTGCAAGAAACTAATATGTGGCCAATTAGCATATGTTAAATTAAAGAACACATAGTGAGTGCTGTATGTTTGTGGGAGGTGGTCCATCCATTCCAGCACTCACACATACATCTACTGTCATGGAACCCATGGTCTTATAGGGCAGCAGTGCCCAATAAGGGCCCGGTTTCATGAAAGACAATTTTTCCACAGACTGGGGCCATGGGGGAGGGTGGTTTCAGAATGATTCAAGTGCATGACATTTATCGTGCACTTTATTTCTATCATTATTACATTGTAATATATAATGAAATAATTATACAACTCATGAAAATGTCGAATCAGTGAGAGCTCTGAGCTTGTTTTCCTGCAACTAGACAGTCCCATCTGGGGGTGATGAGAGACAATGACAGATCATCAGGCATTAGATTCTCATAAGGAGCACACAACCTAGTTTCCTCACATGTGCATTTCACAATGGGAGTTCCTATGAGAATCTAATGCTGCTACTGATCTGACAGGAGATGGCGCTCAGGTGGTAATGTAAGTGATAGGGAGCAGCTGTAAATACAGATGAAGCTTCACTGCTTACTGGCTATGTGCCGGGGTTCCTAACAGGCCATGAACCAGTACTGGTCCATGACCAGGGTTTGAGGACACCTGCTATGGGTGTGTGTGGGTTGCCCCTAACTGTATGTCTCAGTCATCTTGTGTAGCCTGGTAGTTACTGGTAAGCCTTCTTGTATGTCCACTGGACTAACCCAAGCCTCGGTTTTGGATGTTCTTCTATTTTTTGTGCTTTGTTGTTATTATTTTGGATATAGGGAAATTTGACTTCATCTTTGTAGAAACTTTAGTGGAGAAACGGAGAAGCACTGTGAGGAACGCTGAGTCATTTCCTCTTAATGAGGAATAGATGGGAAGTAGGGAGACTCCCTTCAAAGAGGGATGATTAATATCTGCATCTTGTTGATTTCAGGGTTATCTCTTTTGCTTCCCATCCTCGAGGTGCACAGTGTCCATGTGGTGATATGTGGCAGCTGCAATTGGAAAAACACACAATGCTTCTCTTGTTTTTTAGGCACCATGCATCTGGAGACCCACTCATATGGCTTCAAGGCTCTCTGCAAAGCCACAACCAGAAATACAATTGAGCCTCCGCAATGTGTTGCTTTCCATCGCCCCTTGTCTCCTATCCTTTCTCCTGACCCTAAAAACAGACAGAGAAAAAAATGAATAAATACACACTCACATGTTGGATGCAATAAAACAGTGATGACCAGTCTTCGCTAGTTCAGACTGTTTTAACACAAAACCATAAACTCTGTGGATTATAAACAACAGAATTTATTGCTCACATGGATAACTTTACTTGAAAGCGATTATAGCACTATATCATTTTAGAGCAAAAAAGGGATTGTTGAAATGCATTTCAATCCCAGCAAGAGCCAAATAAACTAAAGGTCAAAGAGGAGAACTGTGTGGCTCACAATAAAGGAGGAACAATTCAATCAAGGACTAATACCCAGGACTCTGTTTTTCATATACTATGATGTTTCTCTTCCTTACTAGGGATAAACGTCTTCATAAACATTGTCAGAATTATTCGTTTTGGAGGGATGAGGCAGGATCTCGCTCTGTCATTCAGGCTAGAGCACACTGATGTGATCATAGCTCACTGCAGCCTTGACCTCCTGGACTCAAGCAGTGCTCCCGCCTCAGCCTCCCGGTAGCTGAGACTACAGGTGGGTGCCTCCACCACTGCCTAATTTAAAAAAAAATTGTTTACAGAAACAGTGTCCCACTGTGTCGCCCAGGCTGGTCTCAAACTCCTGGGCTCAAGCAATTGTCTTGCCTCGGCCTCCCAAAGTGCTGCGATTACAGGGGCCACCACGCCCAGCCTCAATGTCAGAATTATGCTGTTGCCCAAAATTGCTTAATTCTTTATCGGTTTATTATGAGAACGAATGTCCTTTCTCCATCTATCAATATTCTTTTCATGTATCTAAATGGGAGCCTTCTCAATTCTAAAATAATAGCACCTTCACATACAATAGTATAATCTCTTTTTGGTTAATATAGCATAATAAATCTTGCAAACATATTAAGCTACTGGAGTGAAGTCTTACGATTTTCATTATTTCTAGTAACTGAGTCCATATTGATCGCAGACCTGAACACAATAATGACTTGTGGCCAAACAGGGTAGTTGTTCTTTGCCTGAATTTTCCAATGCTGTTTATCTTTTTAAGACCTAATTTGAATAGCTCCCTTAAAGTCTAATTTATTCAGTGGAATATTTTAAATGGGATTAAATATGAATTAGGTACTCTGCCAGAATTATGGAACATTTTAGGCTTACACAGTACAATGCTAATGAAGCAGTATTTTAAACCCTTTTCCTTCTGGGTGCCGACTTATTTTAAATTTGATATTGCATGTAACCATTATGAGATTAGATGCTATATTTTGAAATTAGTTCTGTTGTTGTGGCAAATTCATATTGCTTGTAACTGAAAATTAGAGGTTCAGAGGTACACATTGATTAAACAATTTAAAACAATTAAC
Organism: Homo sapiens; assembly: GCF_000001405.40. Classification (NCBI taxonomy): domain Eukaryota; kingdom Metazoa; phylum Chordata; class Mammalia; order Primates; family Hominidae; genus Homo; species Homo sapiens. The sequence goes on from NW_017363820.1 coordinate 141,164, forward strand.
AATGGATCTTCAGAACATTTTAAGGCTTAATTGCATTATGAAAATTAATGCATCTTATATGCTAATATCTCACTTTATCAAATGATTATTGAATTTGGTACTCACCATGTTGATCTTTTAAGTAATAGCTGTGAAGTGATGGCAGTAATTTACTGAAGTGATTGAAATTAAGGGTAGGTATTTTCAAGAAAAACGAATGCTTTTGGTCACCAGGAGGGTGCCTGCACATCACAGCCATGTTCATTATTCATGCTGGACATCACGTCTGAGGGCGATGATTGCTATACACATGTAAACCCAAGGCAGTGTGCTAAAAATAACATTTTTATGCTTACACAGGAAGAAAAGGAGACTAAAGGTTAATAGACACAGGTCTCATTTGTGACTCAAAGGGGAGAGTTACTTTATACATGCCAGCCTTATATTCTTTATATATGGGTATATTTGGTGGTTTATGGATTTATGGAATAAATGTTTTTTATTCTGCAAGTGGAATGTTTTCACATGCATCACCTCATTGATTCCCATGAACATGTATGCACACACATATACACACACACCAATACACACAACACATTAGTCATGTGACCTACTCCGAAAAAACACATAATTCATGGCAGATATAAATATGAATACATGATGGTTAAATTGAGATAATCATCATTTTCCAAAGGAATATTTAATTTTCATCTTAGAAAATATAGATAGATCCAGAAGTACATAAAAACACAAATAAGGAAGGTAAAGAAAAATATATATGTATAGATACATAATCATCGATGATAAACATTTTCCAATTAAAACCTTTTATATAATAAGCCTATGCCAAAATTGAATCTTAATGAATGAAATTTTGTGTAGTGGACTATAGTAGGACACTCATCCAAAATCTTACTATATCTGAGAACCTTTCTTCTCTACCTATCTTATTTCTTAATTTTACTTTCAGACTAAAGGTTTAACTTGAATTTTCTCTACACTGTTTATGCTAGCCTGCATCTATTTTTTTGTATATTTTCTTTATTATCTGTCTATTTTGTGGTACCTTTGAGAATCTGGGGGGAGACTTCTGTTCAGGCCAGCAGAATTCTCAGTTTCTTATTTGATTATAAGGATTATATTAATAAACTGATACTATGGGATTATATATCATCCTTTTTTGATGGTAGAATCTTCTAAAATCTTTATACTTTATATCACTTCATTAGATGTGAAAAATGGTACCTTTGTTCTACATTCTTTAACTGAAAATATCTAGAGATGTTTTATCAGCTTTCATAGAAATACACACCAACAAACATGGGTAAAGAATTATACTGAGGATTTAAAAAAAAAGATTGTAGCTTTCGGCAACTGTTTTATATATATACATGTTTGCAATTTGCCATTTCAATTGATTTACACACACGTCTCCTAGTGCATAGCACAGTTGCTTTGATTTTAATCTGGATGAGTTTAAACTCTTCGGCAGCTACTGTGAGTGGGCTGCGAGAGTCAGTAAGCAAGAGGAATGCGTAGAAAGAAAGAAAAATGGTTACTAGCCCATGGGGAACTCTCAAGAAACCTTAGCTTTTATTCTTTATCTCCTTTCCCTCTTACTCTAACTGGTTCTCCTATCATCATACGCAATGTGTGCCAGAGTGTATTATTGCAAACATAACTTGACCCGTCATTACCAGGAATTTCCCATGCAAGAATGATACTCCCCGTCCCATTAAAGCCAGGCATGATCTTACTTACAGCTTGCTCTGGTCACTGAAATGTGAGTGGAAATGACATACTCTGTTTCCAAGCAGGCATTCTGGGAGCCACTGCCTTAGTTCCGCCTACTTCTCACCCTTTGCTCTGCAAGAAGAATGGCCATGTCAAAGATGCACACTCATCGTTCAGCCTGGGAAGGTAGCTTGTGAAAGGCAAGACACAGGACACGAGTTGACCTCTGGCTAACATGTATTCTGCAAGAGAATGAAATGCATTGTCCTGGGATACGATGATTGCTTTCTAGTAGCTTTTAATTATAGTGTAGTATTGAAAAGCTGGAAAATACAAGTGAGTATTCCATATCACATCCCATGCTATAGCTTATGGAAACATTGTGCTATTGACCGGATTTTTAGACTTTTGTTCTGAATTCTTATTTCCAAAAAATGCTGGGCAATTTGCCTGCATAGGCATTGTTTTCATTTGTTCTCATGCTGCTAATAAAGACACGCCTGAGACTGGGTAATTTACAAAGGAAAGAGGTTTAATGGACTCACAGTTCCACATGGCTGGGGAGGCCTCACAATCGTGGCAGAAGGGCAAGGGACATCTTACATGGCAGCAGGCAAGAGAGAGTGAGAGCCAAGCAAAAGGGGAAACCCCATACAGAACCATCAGATCTTTTGAGATATATTCACTACCAAGAGAACAGTATGAAGGAAACCGACCCCATGATTCAATTATCTCCCACTGGGTCCCTCTCACAACACGTGGGAATTATGGGAGCTACAATTCAAGATGAGATATGGGTGGGGACACAACAAAACCACTTCAGACATCTTTGAACTACAGTCATGGTATGTTGGTAGGGTATACAGCAGATCCTCGAATAATCTTTCATTTAAATGTCATTTTATTACAACATTGATGAGAGGGTGTCTAAAGAAAGTTGATTCCAGGTAGGGCTACTGTCTGTGTGGGTTTTGCATGTTGACCCCATTTTTTGTGGGTTTTCTCCAAGTGTCCTGGTTTCCTCTTGTATCCCAAGGATGTGCACTTTAGGTTCATTGGTGTGTCTACATAGTTCCATTGTGGATGTGGGTGCCTGTGAGTGTGCCCTGCAATGCAATGGCATCCTGTCCGTGGCTGGTTCCCTCCTAGAACACTGAGCAGTTGGGAAAATCTCCAGCCACCTGAGACCCTGAACTTGAATAAGTAGATTGGAAAATAAATGAATGAATACAACTTACTGTAAAATAAAATTTTTTAAGTCTATGATAATCATCCAAATGTACAACAATTACCTCTGTGGTACAAAATGCTTGGTGAGCTGCTGTATTTGTGATCATTTGCTTTTGGATTGCTTGGTGGTGGAGGAAGAATCGCCTGACAATTTTCACTTGACAAACATTTATTCCTTGAATTAACCCACCAGCACTATGACCACCGTCACTCATTGGCTCACTAAAAATTGGGTAAATAATTATCTTGTTTTATTAATCTTTCTTAAATATATGTTTATCTCACATGTATTTCAATGTTTAATATTACAAGTGTAAAAAGTCCTTATCTAGAAGTTTGACGATGTTTTGGGGACCAGAAATATACCTTAGGAACTTAACTCTTGTTTATATGAATCACCTTAAGAGAAAATTGGTTTCTTTTTCCTTTCTTTTTCCTTTTTTGGGACATGGTCTCACTCTGTCACCCAGGCTGGAGTGCAGTGGTACAATGTCAGCTCACTGCAGCCTCTACTTCCTGGGCTCTAGCAATCCTCCACCTCCACCTCCCAAGTAGCTGGGACTATAGCTGTGCACAACCACACCCGGTTAATTTTGAAATATTTTTTGTAGAGATGAGGTCTCACTATGTTGCTCACACTGGTCTCGAACTCCTGGGCTTGGCCTTCTAAAGTGCTGGGATTACAGGCATGAGCCACCACTCCCGGCCAGAATTGGTTTCTTTATACATTGTTTGGCTTAAAGTCTCTGTTTCCGGGAACCTGTTCACAATTTTAAGTGAAGACTTCATTGTAATCCTGAAAGTAGAAAAGGAGAAAAAGCTGAAAGTATAAACAGAGCCAAGTGTATGCAATAAATTTTGATAGATCTGCAGAAATATCCAAATATATTGCAAGCTGATAAAAGTACCAAAGGGATATTGAAGTTAACCTACTTCTTCCTGCAGAATGGAACACACTCTCTGTTTACATTCCTGTTAGGCGTATTCACCTTGAAAAGTTCCCAGGAGTATAATCACCATACACATAAAATACAAAGGATGGAAATCACTCTCATGGGGCCATTTTCCAGGACTTTCCTATGAAACATGATATCCAGGCACACTTAAGGCAGTTACGTGACTCTGTTGTGGTTTATTAAGATTATCAAAGCAATAGAAGATCAGAGAATAAAGTGTCCAATAAAATAGCTGTTTTCATGAATAGCCTACCTCAATATACTAGAGAAAAATACGAAGAAGTCAGTGGCCACTTATATGGCCATTAAAGTAGTTGCATCATTAAAGTAAAAAGGATTAATTTGGCATTAAGTTGGCTATTAACAGATATGAATTTGTGCTTTCTGTTATAAATTATATATTAAAAATTATAATAATACAAATAAAATAATACAGACTATATTAATCAATGTATCAATATTTAAATAATATAATGTATATTAATATAGTATTAGGTTGGTGCAAAAGCAATGGTAGTTTTTGCATTACTTTTAATAACAAAAACCATGATGACCTTTGCACCAACCTAATAAAATATTGCAATTTTAATTAGATGTTACAAATTATGTATTGACATAATTTATCCTTTATTAAAATAATTAGCTCTTATAAAAACATCAATTTATTTACATTTTATTATCCCACTTCTTTTAAAACCTTTAAATGCCTTAAATTTCTAAGCCCGCTATTCTGCAACAAATTTACTCCATAATAGATTAGAAATAACAAAACACAAATATGTATAAATACATGATGTGTGAGTGCATATACTGCAGGGGTGAGTTGTATCATTGGACATATTTTAGCCGTAACTTATTGTATTTTATTTATTTATCTATTTTGAGACAGGGTCTTGCTCTGTTCCCCAGGCTGGAGTGCAGTGGTACAATCATAGCTCACTATAGCCTCAACCTCCTGGGCTCAAGCAATCCTCTCTCCTCAGCCTCCTGAGTAGCTAGGACAATAGTCACACACCAAGATGACTGGCCAATTTTTTTTACTTTTTGTAGAGATGAGGTTTGGCCATGTTGCCCAGGCTGGTCTTAAACTCCTAGGCTCAAGTGACCCTCCTGCCTCGGCCTCGTCAAGTGTTGGGTTTACAGGCATGAACCACCATGCCCGGCCTAACAGCAATTTCTCTTTTTTTTTTTTTTTGAGACAGACTATCTCTCTGTCCCCCAGGCTGGAGTGCAATGGCTCAGTCTTGGCTCACTGCAACCTCTGCCTCCCGGAGTCAAGCGATTCTCCTCTCTCAGCCTCCCGAGTAGCTGGGACTACAGGCGACTGCCACCACATCCAGCTAATTTTTGTATTTTTAGTAGAGACAGGGTTTCACTATGTTGGCCAGGCTGGTCTTGAACTCTTGACCTCGTGATCCGCCCATCTTGGCCTCCCAAAGTGCTGGGATTACAGGCGTGAGCCACCGCACCCAGCCCCAGCAATTTCTTATATTTCATACCTTTAAAGTAATCACCCAAGTATATAAGAATTTATAAAATTCAAAGGTAAAATTAGTGAATAATAAAACACCTTATAATATGTAAACCTCCGCTATCTATTTATTTGTTAAATACATTCCATGATTAAGTATTGGATATACAATAATCAGAGTGGAACTCAGCAAGGACCCCCAAAAATAAAATAATGGGAAAAAATGGTTTGCTATTGTTCGGTGTTAAGTTAAGGCACTTTCTTGCCAATCACAGGAGCAGTAACTTCAAAATTAATGTCAAATACATGAGGCATCATATCAGGATTGGCAAAAATTTTAAATTGTAAGTAATTATTTTATTAAATAATGTTCATATCTCACATTTTAAAATGACATATTTTTGTGAGGTTCATAAAACTAAGTATGTTTGGGGTTTCTCTGTCTGCTTTAACATTTTTAAGTATAATTCTTCAGTCATTCATATCCATTTAATCAAGAGGACCTTCTGGTTCAGGTAGATTAAATGAAGCATCGGAAACAAAAAACTGCTACACATCGACTAAAATGATTCATCGCCTGGTGAGTAGGGGAGCCAACATGTCAGCCATGCCATGTATATTCAATGCTACCCCAAACCAGGAGTCACGTCACTTTGCTATGGCACATAAAGGCCCTTAGACCATTGAAGACAATCGGTCCAAAATGCCCTATAGCTGGAGAGAATGAAGTAACTCAGTGATGACTGACATACCGAAAAGAAACATGATAGGAATTGAGCAATTCCAAGGAGTCCAGACACTCCAGAAAGATGTTGGAAGGCATGAATAACCTATTTGATGAACCAAATCCCTGCGGTTTGTACTTTCACCTTTTCACTGCTTACCATGAACGGGGCTCATCTTAGCTAAAATGTCAATATAAAATTTTTATGGGAAAATATCGTGTCATGATTTTCCTTAGAACACTCAAATTGTTTATGAATAAGTTTTAACACTGAAAACATCATTTATATATATTTATATACATTATATTTTATATATTATATATTAATATATATTATTTATATAAATATGTTGTATAAAATATAAGTATTCATATATATTTCACTATATATAAATATATGACATCTATAAATATATATTTATAGATAGTTCACTATCTATAAATATATACAACATATATAAATATATAAATAAAAATGTATATGCACATTTTTATACATAAATTTTATATTGAAGTGTATATATTTATAGATCTTATATATAAATGTATAACATCTATATATATCTATAGGTGTTACATATAGATATCTATATATAACATCTATATATCTATAGCTATTATAGATGTTAAATATATTATTATATATAATAAATATATTTACTATATATAATACATATATTACTATATAAAAATATATGTATTATATAATAAATATATTTACTGTATAAAAATATTTGCTATATATAATAAATATATTTACAGTAAAATATATAAAAATATATTTACTATATATAGTAAATGCTTATATATATATGCAAAAATAAAATTTAAAGACCCCTCTAACCATCTGAATGGATCCCTCCTCTTAGCCAAGGTCATTCCAGAGTGAACCTGAAAAACTGGTTCAAGCCATGATGGAAGAGGGGGTAGACATGCCTCATTATACCCCTCCAGCATTAACACCAACACAGATCTTAAGTATAAGAAATATATATAATCTATTCTATCTCTGAGGCCTGCTACCTGGAGGCTTCATCTGTATGATAAAACCTTGGTCTCTACAACCCCTTATCTTAACCCAGACATTCCTTTCTACTGATAATAACTCTTTCAATCAATTGCCAATCAGAAAAATGTTAAATCTACATATGACCTGGAAACCCCCACTTCCAGTTCTCCTGCCCTTCCAGATTGAACCGATGTACATCTTACATGCATGGATTGATGTCTTATGTCTCCTTAAAATGTATAAAACCAATCTGTGCTCTAACCACCTTGGGCACACGTCATCAGGACCTCCTGAGGCTGTGTCACAGACATGTCCATAACCTTGGCAAAATAAACTTTCTAAATTGACTGAGACCTGTCACAGATATTTTGGGCTCACTATATATGTATGTATAAATGTAATTCCTATAAGAAGACATCACTAAATAGGGTATCAGAACATGATTTCCAAGAAGTATCCTCAGTTAATATTGGTGGTTCCAACCACAACAATCATTCTGAAAAATGCTCAAGACTGTCTTCCAACAGTGGTGAGAGCTGAAGTTCTGCTAGAGCACCTGCATGGACATCTTGGCTTTCCAGCATAAAGCATCTCATTACTTTATGAATTTCTCAAGACACATACAGTAAAATAGCCATATTAAGGATTAAAGGACATATATTTTTATTGCTCAAATTCTCTTCTACTTTGTCTTAGAATATAAAGCAATTCTGATATGCAAGTTAATTCCTAACATTGCTGAGTAGGAATGGACTGTGCATATTTTATTTGGACTCTCCATTTATTGAGTTCATATTGTATGTCCAACTTTTTAATGAACTTCCAGATAATCTAAATGGATTTCCACAATCATTTTTGGAGTTAATGCTATAATCTCTAATAAAGTAATGGGAAGACTTAAGGTCATGAAGATCCTAGCACCTATCTTATTCCACATTTCTAGAAGTTTTAAGGCTGGTCTTCAGTACATCTTTAATAATTCCATGATGGGGTATAGTTCTGTTTTAGTGATGGTCCATTTCTACCAATGTTTAGTCCTAGATTTTTAGACAGCGTGAATTCTGTACTTTTTCCCAAATTCCCAGTCACTCTTGTTTTGTTCGTTGGTCATAGTTGTTGTTTTATTCTGTCCATATTTCTCTCTTTGGATGCAAATTACACATGAAAACATGGCATATTCATATTTCAGATTATGGCAATATTAACTGTAATTTTTACTCTCCCATTGAAGATTGCATGATAAGCTTGCCAAGAGTTATCAAATACTTTGTCCAGCCATATTTTGTAAACAGTATCCACTGGTGGTTTATCTAATACAAAAAGAGAATGGATAATGCCCTTCCATCAGAGACACTTAAGAGTTTATTAAAAACATTGACATATTCTGTTGAAACTCAGCCTGGAAGATTTGACTACTATAGCATTCTTAGAAATGGTCAAGTGGTCAAAGCTTTTGGAATGTTAAATATTTCAAGAGTATTTGGCCCTCTATAGTAAAACGTTTTATCATGCAAATCTCCAATGGAGGTTTCTCTGTTTAAATTGATTTATGGTATTTACATGAGAAAGACAAATTATTTATGTCAATGATCTGTTCTGATCCTTCACTCCAGAATTGCACATTATTTCTTTGATCTATACATAAGTATTTGCAACCTCTATGTTATTGAAAATAATTTTGCCATTTGTTCACTTAATCTCTCAAGTAGTAAAATCTCTGGCCTATTCTTGGGTAGTAATGAATTTGATTTTCTGAGTTTGGAAGATTAAAGGCACTCATTTGTGTTTCAAATGCAAGGGAGCCCCTATTAGCTTCTCTTGACAAACACCAAAAAGGGCAATTTTACATCAAATGTCGTGGCCCTTCAGTTTAAATAGCAATTACACAAAAAAAGCTGTTGATTTCATCTACAAATAGTGAAATCTCAATGTGGATTAATATTTCTGGTTGAATATTGTGGCTTTTCTATTGGACTTATGATTGGTAGCAATTTATTATAATAGATATGAGTTTTTAAATATATTTTTAGAAAAAAGTATATTATTTTTCAATTTCACATGTTTTAAGATTGATTTACAAAATTCTGTATATGGATTTAGGAAGCAAAGTTATAAACATCAGGTACTTCAATCTATACCAAACCATTAAATCTGTTAGTCTGTTTCAGTATATACTCAATTGCTTCCAAAACAATAGGTAACTTACACTGAACTTCACAGTTTCCATCACCTTCTATTCAAGTTCAACCGGTGATGGATCAATGTTAAATAGATTTTAAATATAAAGTAGGCATTTTCAGAAAATAAAGATATAATCAAGATCTCTGTCTTTCACCTAATTCATGGCTGAGGTTGCTCATGGGTTCTGGAGCAAAACACACATAGCCTAAAAAATAACAAGACTTTGAATAAAGAATGTAGTGAACAAGGTCTGTACTGACTGGCCACATGAAGCAAAGGAAAATAAAGTTATTTGACAGTAAGCTCCAGATTAAAGAAAGGAGACCAACTTCAGAGTGACAGCTTCCCACTGAAATAGAATTTTAAAAATGCACAGATTCAAGCCTTAGAGATATTATTAATATTTTTTCAAAGTTGCGTTTGGAGAATGTAATTTTTAAGTACAATATGCTAAATAAAACAGTATCCATAGTGGTAAGCAAATATAAGAAAATGTGCATCACAGGAAACTAAATTATTCTAGAAGATTGAATGCAGGGATTATCATAAAACATAAAAAAATTATGTATGCTATCAACAAGAAAACATGGATTAGAAACATCAAAGGCAGAGACAGCAGAACCCAAAATGACATATAAAGTATAAATATTCCTGTAAAAGAAGCATAAACAGCTGGATCAGGAGTATAGCCAAAGATGTATAAGAATAATACATTCCTGACCCTAAAAAGTCTTTCTGACTTTTCAGAAAAAGAAAAAAAAAGCTTGTGTGCAGACACCTGTCTCTCTCTCTCTCTCTCTCTCTCTCTCGCATACACTTACACTAACAAATTCTAACAGCAGAGAAACCTTTGAAAGGAGTTAAAGATAGGTGTTATACACACACACACACACACAGACACACACACACAAATCGGTGTTGAGAAGGGCAACGGTGGAAGCTAAGAATCTCTGGAATCATCTTTTAAAATAGTTGACGGACAAAAATTAACAGCCAACAATATTAAAACCAATTAAGCAGGGGAAAATGAACACTTTTACACTGTTGGTGGGAGTATAAATTAGTTCAACCATTATGGAAGACAGTTTGGCAACTCCTCAAATATGTAGAAGCAGAAATACCATTTGACTCAGAAATCCCATTACTGAGTATATACCCAAAGAAATATAAATCATTCTACTATAAAGATACATGCACACATATCTTCATTGCAGCACTACTCACAATAGCAAAGACATGGAAGCAACCCAAATGCCCTACAATGATAGACTGGATAAAGAAAATGTGGTACATATACACCATGGAATACCATGCAGCCATTAAAACGAATGAGATTATGTCCTTTGCAGGGACATGGATAGAGCTGAAGGCCATTATCCTTGGCAAACTAACACAGGCACAAAAACGAGACACCACATGTTCTCACTTGTAAGTAGGAGCTGAACAATGAGAACACATGGTCACATGGGAGGGAGCAACACACACTGGGGCCTGTGAGAGGGTGGAGGTGCAGGAGGAAGGACCGCATCAGGAAGAATAGCTAATGGATGCTGGGCTTAATACCTGGGTGATGGGTTGATCTTTGCACCAAGCCAACATGGCACATGTTTACCTATGTAACAAACCTGCACATCCTGCACATGTGCCCAAGAACTTAAAATAAAAGTTGAAGAATAAAAAACAATTAAGCTATTATTCATGGAAGTAATTAAACATATCTTTACTTGTAATGATTCAAAATTATTGCACCATTATGCAAAAAGTGGAAGAGATTTCCTGCTGTACTCGGATATTCATTTTCCCACTCCCATAGAAGACCCAAAATGTTGTCTTTTACTGGGCTGGCCAGAATAAACTCTGCTTAGTTCTAGCCAGTGGGAGGTGAGCTCACTTTCTCCTCCTCCTTGGAATGAGACTGTGGTGGTGAACATTTAGAACCATATGGAGAAGAGGAATTCCCTAGCTCAAACAAATAGATACTTGTATATTCAATGACATGGGCAACCTAGGGATCCTTCTCTGTTGTCAACTGGTGTCTCATAGGAGGATAATAAGAATCTATTTTAATTATTCACTCTATTACTATTTTCAATTTCAGTCATAACAGAAAAGCTTGGGACCTAGATAATACTAAATTGTTTCACACCTTACTTAGAAAATTATTTGAGTTTCTGAAGGAAAACACAGACTTCCAGACAACAGAAGACCAAGAAGAATTGAAACTGTTCTAGGACTGCCATAGCGAAATAGAATGATGAAGTATGTGAACCCCGAAAATCTGAGACAGGTCTGAATTAATTTAGAAAGTTTATTTTGTCAAGTTTGAGGATGCGTGCCAGTGAAACAGCCTCAGGAGGTCTTCGCGACATGTGCCCAAGGTGATCAGAGCACAGTTTGGTTTTATACATTTTAGGGAGACATGAGACATCGATCAACATATGTAAGATGAACATTGGTTCCATCTGGAAAGGAGGGACAACTCAAAGCGGGGAGCTTCCAAGTCAAATGGTTGCATTCTATCGAGTTTCTGATGAGCCTCTCCAAAGGAGGCAATCAGATATGCATTTATCTCAGTGAGCAGAGGGGGGACTTGGAACAGAATGGAAGGCAGGTTTACCCTAAGCAGTTCCCAGCTTGACTTTTCCCTTTAGCTTAGTGATTTGGAGGTCCCAAAATTTATTTTTCTTTCACAGTTATACAAGAGAAATTTAGTTCCTCACAGTTCTTGGGCCTGGGAAGTCCATAATCAAGGTCCAAGAAGGTTCTGTTTCTGTGAGGGCTTCCTTCTTTGCTTACAGATATCTAGCTTCTCACTGTGGCCTCACATGGTGGGGAGAAAACAAGAGGTATCTCTCTCTCTTCCTCCTCTTATAAGACCAGTAGTACTACAGAATTGGAACTCCATGGATATGACCTTATTTAACCTGAATTGTCTCCCAAAAGTCCTGTATCCAAATATAGTCACATTGTGGGTTGGGACTTCAACATATGAAGTGTGTGTGCACGTGTGTGCCTGTGTGTGTGTGTAAGGGGTATAATTCAGATCATAACATTTCATTCCTGCCTATTCAAAATTCATGTCCATATATCATACAAAATACAGTCATTCTGAGGAGAGAGGCCATTTCTCTTACTGTCTCCTATCTCTAAAGAGAAGAAGGAAGTAAAAGCTGAAAAACAACAGGAATGAAGTCAGTGGCAAGACCAACTGGCACCACTGACCAGGCCTGAGGTTAAAGACTAACCCCCCACTCTAACCACATGTGCTATCTATAGATCTCAATCTATCACAACCCTTTCATGTGTACCCCTTAGAGTTGTAAACCCTTAAAAGGGCCAGGAACTCTTTCTTCAGAGAGCTCAGTTCTTGAGACGCAAGTCTGCTGATGCTCCCGACCAAATAAAGCCTCTTCCTTCTTTCACCCGGTGTCTGAGGAGTTTTGTCTGTGGCTCGTCCTGCTACAATTCCAACTACTAAGCCATAAAAAAGAATAAAATAATGTCTTTTTTAACAACTTGGATGTCACTGGAGGCCATTATTCTAAGTGAATTAGCTTAGGAATTGAAATCAGATACTGCATGCTTTCACTTATAAGTGGGAGCTAAGGTATGGGGACACAGAGGCAAACACAGTGTTATAATGGACACTAGAGACTCAGAAGCAGGAGGCTAGGATGAACGTGAGGGATGAAAAGTACCTATTGGGTACAATGTACATTATTCTGGTGACAGGTCCACTAAAATCCCAGATTTCATCACTATATGATTCAGTCATGTAACCAAAAGCCGCTTGGAGTTCTAAATCTATTGAAATTAAAACACACAGACACACACACACACACACACACACACACAGAGAGAAAGAGAGAGAAGAAAAACAGGATGAAAGTGACATGCACACAAATGCCCCCAACTCCAAGGTCTCATTCAAAGCTTATCTCCTTCTTTGCAAATTCATAAAAGGCTTCAGCTGTCTCATTCTCAGGACCAGCATCCAGGGGATATGGCTTCTAGTCAGGTGTTCTTTATGTCAAAATATATAAGAAAAAATGTCTTTTAGGACTCATTATACTAGTATTGAGTCCTTGGGTGATAATTAGAGTAGGTAGGTATGAGAGAAGAGGAACCAGGAAAGAAGTTATTAAAAGAACAGTCCAGTAGAGGAGGTTGGGATTTTCTTATTAAGAATTTTACAAAAATTGTGTTGTATTTGTATATAATATACACAGTAAAAATCCAGGTTGTTATTAGCACTGTAAAAAATGAATTCATTCCACCTCAATCGTTGAAATGGTTTAGCCATATATCTGGTATATTATATTTAATATTAAAAGGATGAGACCCATATGTAATACATGAGTTCATAAATCACCATTTGTGGAAGTTGATTCTGAAAAGATAATACCTCTAACACAGCTTGATTCACCTGCACTCCAAGCTCCAGCAACTGGACCCTCCTTGACTCAACGGCTGAGGCCCCCAGAAAGTTGTACATGAGTGAAGTTTGGATGTAGTTGGAAGAACAGCAAGGAAATTTACATGGAGCGCTCTCCTTCGTGGATGCCATAAGGATCAGAAATGCAATTCCAGGGAATCTCAGGGTGAGTACCAGAAAGTGTCAGATTATGGCTTGGAGATTTCCTCCAGAGATGCTGGAATGATGGAAAGTGAGTGAGCCTGACTTCTGTTATCCACAGACTCCTCTAGGAACTTCCATAGGCTGCGGATAGTGTTCTCTACTGATTAATGGTCCCATGGTGGTTGAGACCATTTTATCTGTACCTTCCAAGAAGGCACGGCCATTTAGAATAATCTAATGGCATGGCCTAAAATCCAGTGAGTCAACAAAAAAATGAGTTATTCAAGTCAGGAGACCTGGGAATCAGAACACACAGGTGACATTCCCAGCAAACCAAGCTGCTGCAGGAAACAGATGGCAAGTTGTACAAACAACAAAATGTTATTAGTAACAATAACATTAATATTAATAATAGCAACAGCATATAATGAAAAACTATAGCACTTAAGGAAGTTCAGCCCAAAAGCTATTTTCTGAGTTAAATAAAAATATTCTAGGTTGGGCACAGTGGCTCACTCGTGTAATCCCAGAACTTTGGGAGGCTGAAGTAGGAGGATCACTTGAGCCTAGGAGTTTAAGACCAGCCTGGGCAATGTGGTGAGGCCCTGTCTCCACAAAAATAAAAAAAAAAAAAAAAAAAAAAAAAAACTAGGTGTGGTCGTACATGTCTGTGGTCCCAGCTACTCAGGAGGCTGAGATGGGAAGATCACTTGAGCCCACGAGATTGAGGCTGCAGTGACCTGAGATCTCACCACTGTAGTCCAGCCTGGGCAACAGCGCAAGACTCTGTCTCCAAAAAAAAAAAAAAAAAAAATTCTAGTTAAAAAAGCACTGAACTAATTAAAAGGATTTTCATTGTTGACACCTAATTTAAAGGTCTGCAAAATCAAATGTGCACACATCTCAACAGAGAAAGAATGAAACCCTGGAGAATGATAAACCAAAATGGATAAGGTTATTATCTATGAATGTGTTACGTAATTGTCAAAATAAAGTTATTGGAAGCAAGAAATATACCATAAAGAAAATTATAAACTAGACAGGCTTTAATGCACTAAACCGACTCAGTGAAAATTTAGGAGTTGGCAGAAAAATAAGTTAATAATTATATAAAACTAATTTTATGAATGAGAAAGAGAGTAGGAACTAAACAATTTTAGAGACATTCAAACTATAGTGAGAAGTAGCTGGAAATGTATTTGCAAATAATATTAGCAAAATATATGTACTTGCTTATGAAAGAAGTGCTATTGTTAAGAGATAGAAAAAAAGAATGGAATAGGTTCAAATCCTACCTAAGTAAAAATAAAAATAAAAGAATAGGATAACTTATACATTATCAAGAGAGAATATGGAATGAATAGTAATTGAGCCACACCAGCAAAATTGAGAAAGAAGAAAATTTTAGATTACATATGACAAGAAAACATGCTAAAATTACAATTAAGGAATCAATAAAGGCAATTAACCACTTGGAGAAAGTATAACCTATAACACCTACAAAAATTTGTCTGGCCAGGCTCAGTGGCTCACACCTGTAATCCCAGCACTTTGGGAGGCCAAGTTGAGAGGATAACTTGAGCTCAGGAGTTCGAGGTCAGCTTGGGTAACATGGCAAAACCCCATGTCTACAAAAAATACAAAAATTAGCCAGGTGTGGTGGCATATGCCTGCAGTCTCAGCTATTTGGGAGGCTGAGGTAAGAGGATCACTTGAGCCAGGGTAGTTGAGGCTGCAGTGAGCTTTGATGGTGCCACTGCACTCCAAGTTGATTGACAGAGTCAGATCCTGTCTCAAAAACAAAAAAAGTGCCAAAAGTTTGCTGGTAGGATTCATGTTAAGAAATAATGCTTTTCCCAGAAATAAAAGATAAGATCTCCAGAAAAAAAAATTAATTCTCAGCACATTAAATAAAATAGACTCACATCAGTACATCATGGTGAACTTTTGAGACAAAGATAAATTCATAAAATCTGTCAGGGAAAAAGGTAACATCAAAAGATCGTACAGCTAAATGGCTTTACACTTCTGAAGAGCAACACAGAAATTCCTCAAGTCTTCACATTTCTGAGCATAATAACTGCTAAGCTAGAAATACTTACCTACTTAAATGCTTTTAAATAAATGGGCTGATTAGAGCATTCTTTGTTCAAGAATTTAGTGAATACGCCATTATATTATAATAATCATTATAATATTATAATGATTATAATCACTATAATATTATATTCATTGAGCTGAGATTACTTGCTTATGATTATAAATTTACCTTTATTTTCTCCTAATAAATATTACCAGAGTTTCGGGAAATTTATTCGGCATTAATTCTTTGAGCTGAGGTTCTTTCTTTTGAGATATAAAAGTTATTCAACTGAGATTTATATATAAATAATAAATATACTTAACTATAAATCTCAGTTGAATAACTTTTATATAATGAATAAATGTATAAGCATAAGCAAGTAGTGTTGTTGAGAGATTAGTTCTGTTTTGTGATCACTTCTTGCAAAAAGAATAGCTAAGTTACTAATTATTACATTTATGAAGATATGAGATTAAAATGTTTTTATTAATTTGATGTTATACATTAATAACTATTTTATCTTCTACAAAGTATGATTAGAGTTTGTTTAATTGTGGAAACTGTTTAAGTAATATATAATATGATCTCCAGTGTACAAAAATTTATAAAGAAGTTCTGAGAAATTAATAAATAATAACCTTCCCTTTTGATAATCTTTTTATGCATACATACAAAATAATTGAAAAATGAATTTGTTATCCAATCCATACTATTGCTCCAGTTTATAAGTTTATGTAATAACTTTATATTTCTGTTGAAAAAATAAACACCACTATTCTTTGCAGCTTAATCCTCAATTGAAATATAGACCCAGAATTTACAAGGAACTCAAATAATTCAACAAGAACTAAAAACCATATAACTCCATTAAACAGTAGGCAGAGGACTTGAATAGCTATTTTTTAAAAGAAGATAATCGAATGCTTATACAAGCATGTGAAAAATTGCTCTAATAATTAGAGAAACGCAAATTAAAACCACAATGGGATACCATCTCACACCAGTTAGAATGACTATTATTAAAGGAAAAAGTAACAGATATTGGTGATGACACAGAGAAAAAAGAATGCTTACACACAGTTGGTAGGAATGTAAATTAGTACAACCTCTATGGAAAACACTATGGAGATTTCTCAAAGAATTAAAAATAGAACTACCATTTGATCTAGCAATCCTACTACTGGGTATTTACCCAAGAGAAAGAAATCATTACATCAAAAACATACCTGTACTCATATGTTCATCACAGCACTATACACAATAGAGAGGATATGCAAACAACCTAAGTGCCCATCAATAGATGACTGCATAAAGAAAATGTAGCTTAATGTGACTCCACACACAATGGAGTCGTATTAAGCCATAAAAAAGAATAAAACCATGTTTTTTGCAGAAACATGGATGGAACTGGAAGTTATTATCTCAGGTAAAACAACTCAGAAACAGAAAGACGAATACCACATGTTCTCACTTATAAGTGGTAGCTAAATAATGTGTACACGTGGACATAGAATGAAGAACAGGGGTCCCTAACCCCCAAGCCATGAACCAGTCAGTACCAGTCTGTGACCTGTTAGGATTCAGGCCACACAGCAGCTGGCGAATAAGCAAAACTTCATCTGTATTTACAGCCGCTCCCCATCACTTGCATTACCGCCCAAGCCCCGCCTCCTGTCAGATCAGCGGCGGCATTAGATTCATAGGAAGGTTCACCCTATTGTGAACTGTGCATGTGAGGGATCTAGGTTGTGCACTCCTTATGAGAATCTAATGCCTGATAATCTTAAAAAAAAGAAACCCCAAAATACAGATGAAATATTTATTTCTGGTTAAAAGAAAGCCAGGAATAGCTCCTCCAGTATAATAAATGTAAAGTTTTAACTTGTGAACAGGTAGTATCTGGATACTCTTAAAAGCAACAATTACCTCTCAAAGTTTATTTAGTACACCAGTTTCTATATTTGTTGGTAATTGGAACGTAATGACATCTGTATAGATGTACCTTATACTATCTATTGGTTTACACTTCTTTTCATTCAAGCTAGTTGTCTTATTTTTTTAAGTATTTAAAGATAAGTGGCAGATGCATTACATTCCATTGCCCAACACTTTAGCATACATATTATTGATACTTGCTTACGGTTCTTCTTGTTTTATTTTAGGTAAAATTTGCATACCTAAGTAACATGCATAATCCTGGGTATACCTGCCCAAAAGTCTTGACAAAAGCATATATCTGTATAACTTAAACCTCTATGAAACTGAAGAACTCACTCAGCTCTTTCCCGCAATACTCAGTCAATTCTCACTCTCACCCAATTAGGGAACAACATTTTTTTCACCCTAGATTTTTTTCCCTCTAATTTATGTAAATAAAAATATGCAGTTTGTATTTTTGTGACTTCTTTCTTTCAACATCATTTTCTAAAGATTCATCAATGTTATTGTGTATATTAGTGTCCATATTTTTCTTATGTGGATATCAGTAGTCCATACCAAATATGCCACAGTTTTTCTTTCCTTCTCCTATAATGTCTGGAGTGTTTCTGGTATTGGGCTTTTATGAATCAACCTACTATGGACATCCTTGCACAAATATGGGTACATTTTCATTTTTCTCCAGTAAATATTTAGGAGTAGTTCTTCTAGGTCTTAGGGTGTGTGTGTTTGTAGGTTTATAAGAAACTGACAATTTCTGTCATTAAAATGTGAAGATTATGTTGTAACTTTCTGTATTTATGTAACCTTCTATTATTCTATTATTATGCATAGTGTCCTTTCAAGTTAAACATTGTGCAATCTCTTATTAGATTTTTAATATTTATAATCCCCTAGTTCTTTTACTAGGAAATTCACTGTGACAGCCTGCTGGTCACTTCACAACCTGGCTATATTTTAATTAACTTCCTGTTTGTTTATACTCTTCCAGTCAGTTTTATTTCATGTGACATAATTGTATATAAAAGCCAGTTAATGCTTTTTACATCAGGGGACATATCAAGTTCATTTTGTTATTGGGAAAAAGATATTAAGTGTTCTAATTTAATACAGACTGCCTCACTTCCAGCTTGTTCTGTTATGCCATTTATGAAGTTGTATAAGTTTTGACAACCTTTTAACATAACTGTACTTGAAAGTATTGTTCCTAGGAAACTACTCAATTTATTAGCCAATGTTAGAGATGAAGCTTCTTTGAGACATCAGTTTGTATATTTTCTGCTAGATAACCAGAACTATTATGAAGTGTGTGTGTGTGTGTGTGTGTGTGTTTGTGCATGCTTGTGTGTGTAAGACTGAGAGAGACAGAGAGAAGAAGAGAAAGATCAATTCTATATAAGTGAGTAGTAACAGCTTTTGAATCCAGGAAACTTCTCCTTTAAAAATTTTTAATTTTTAATTTTTGTGGGTCCATAGTAGCTGTATGTATTTATGGGGTATGTGAGATATTTTGATATAGACACACAATGTGTAATAATTACATCAGGGTGAATGGGGTATTCATCACCTCAAGCATTTATGCGTAATGTTATATACAATCAAATTATACTCTTTTACTTATTTTAAAGTGTAAAATTAATTTTTTTTTACTATAGTCACCCTGTTGTGCTATCAAATACTAGGTCTTATTCATTCTTTCTAAGCATTCTTTTGCAGCCGTTAACCATCCCCACCTCCCCCTCCACCCCCTACTACCCTTCCCAGCCTCTGGTGACCATGCTTCTACTCTCTATCTCCATGAGTTCAATTGTTTTAATCTGTAGCTCCTACAAATAAGTGAGAACATGTGATGTTTGTCTTTCTGTGTCTGGTATACTTCACTTAACAGAATGACATCCACTTCCATCCATGTTGTTGCAAATGGTAGAGTCTCATTTGGGAAGTTTCTCTTACACGTCATTATATTTCCAATGTTTGCACAGTGCCTAATTTGGTAAATATTTCTTAAAATCATATGATAACATGGCATAATTACCCTTCAAATCAGTCATTTTGAAAGATCAAATGAAGACAAATCATCATCGGTCAACCTCATGTAAGAAGCACTGAGAAGTCGTGTGGTCCAACCTTTGCTCATTCATTTCTCCCCTTCCCTCCATTTCTATTCTTTTTCTCCTCCTACTCATGTTCTCCTCTTCTTTTCCTTCTCCTGCTCACCCTGCTCCTTCCTTTCTTTTTCCTCTATGAATAAAATATTCAGCAGGTGTTTCTGAAACTTTTCCTGTAACCTCAGGTACGCCTGAAGATTTGCCCCTTGCTCTACTTATTGTGCACTAGTAACTCCATGAATTGATGGGTATTTAGGCATAACATATTCAAGACAAATGAGAGTCCAGTTGAGGGCAATGGAGTGGACAAACACCTGTGTGTCCTTGATGAGATCAAGTTATGAGTAGTTGGCTTGACTGAGCTGACCTTATGATTGGGGCAATCACTTATACCTGGGGGGACTCCAGGAACATCTAGACATAAAAGATGAGGGTGCCCCACAGCTGATTTGGTAAATACTTCTAACTTCAGATCACCTGAATTGAGGTGGTAGTTTCATGCTTAGATTAGTCCTTTGGGAATACACATGTCCCAGATATGGAATGATGGAGGTATTAGAAATCTTCTATAAGCTGTCATGCATTACCACCTATGATAAGCTGATGCTGTTCACAAATTGTTTTGCTCCCTTTTATGTTTTCTTCATTGGTACTGGCTGAAGCCTATTGCATCTGTTGGGTTTCATCATGATGAAATCAAAAAGATTACTGCTGTTCAAGCAGAAAGGACCCTATACCAGACCAATAGGCTGTAAAACAATTAACCAATATTATATAATTTATATGTGGGGGAAGATAAATACAATAGAATAATATAGAATAGACGAGGGGCTTTTAGTTCTTATCCATGAGTCAAAGAACATTAGCTCCAAAAAATGAAAGATGTGCAATCTTTTAAATAAAAATTTACAATGAGATATACTTTAACTACAGATATAAACATTATAGAAATGACAAAGCTTGCTAACTTCATGCTAAAAAGAATAACATGGCAATATAAAAATCACAATAGAAAAACCATCTTATCACTGTTTTGCCAGTGCATGTCTGTTTGTTGATACGTATCTAATTTAGACTTAGTTTAAATGTAGGTACACTTATGATTTAGGCAGTGTTTCCATCAGCAGCATACAGATTTAAATTACATCATGTACCACGTAACAATGTTTTGATGACAGAACACATAAATGATGTGCGCCCACGGGATTATAATGAAGCTGGAAATTTCCTATAGCCTAGTGACATGCAGTCATTGCAACATCATAGAGCAACACATTACTTTTTCTGTGTTTAGATTTGTTTAGATACACACATACTTATCATTGAGTTACAATTGCCTACAGTATTCAGTGGAGTAACAGGCTGTACAAGTGAGTATCCGGGTAGCAAATATACCATACCATATAGCCTAGATGTGTGATCAGCTATGCTATTCAGGTTTGTATAAGCATAGTCTATGATATTTGCACAACAACCAAATTGTCTAAGGACACATTGTTAGGCAATTGTCAGAATGCCTATCTGCATTCTGTCCTTTAGTGATTGATTTCATTTTTAACCCCTATCTGACCGCATTAGGTAACACTGCATTTCTTTTGTGAATTCATTCAACAGATATTCTTGCACACTGTCAATTTTCCTGTACTATTCAAAAGGCTAGTGAGAGAGTTGTGAACTCCAACTCTTTTTGGCTGACAGCCTACTGCGGGGAAAGGTACACTAAAGAAGCAAATACATCCATCATCAAGATAAGAAATTTGAGAGGAAAAAGTAACCCCTTAAAGAGGCATTGGACCAAAGATGTTTGAACTCAGGACTGAAGAAAGAGAAGGAGCTTGCTCTGGGAAAACCTGGAGGGAGAGCATTCCAGGCAGAGAAAACTGTTGCTATTCCCTGGTGTCTAGGGGAGGTGGAAAGGATTTGGCCTCCTCTGGTAACACACTATGGGCATCATGCCCAGAGAAGGCTCAGGGGCCACAGGGCAGCCACTGTCTAGGTCAGTTGCAGCCTAGTGTCGAAGGATCCTCTCTTCAAAGGGAAATTCCCTTATGCACATGTGTGGTAGCAAGGAGATTGCAGGTAGAATCTGTTCACCCATGAATTGGCCAATTTCAGTCAACTGTAGAAAGAGCTCATTCTGCAATACCAAAGCAAGACACTAGTTAATTGGGAAATGCAATATTCACCTCCAAGCTTTGCAGATATTTATATTTCTGTGGGTAGAAAGGGAAAAAATGAAACAAGAAATGACTTCGTATTGATAGTTTTTCTTTAGTAATTATTTTACTTTCATGAATCTTTATTTATGAAATCTTTATTCAGACATAGGATAATAATCTACCAATAGTTTTTGTTTAGGTACATTATCTTCTACTATGCACTGGAGGGTTTGGGTTCTGTTTTTTTTCCCTCCCTGCCAATAAACCCAGGATTCAGTACAATGAGTTTTAAGGGATGAAATTAAGGAATAGTCCATTGATCTGTTTATTTTCATGTATATCAGAATACTCAAATTTTTAAATTGCCATAGTTTGAAAATAAGATATAAAATATCAAGTAGTAAATCAGTCTAAAAGACAATTAAGGACTATGTTTCTTCTTGGATAAAAGTAAGTACAACTGCAACAGTGTTTCAGAAAACTTACAGCAAAAAATAGTAAACTTACTATCTACCACTGTAATTAATCATTTCATTGAATTTCCCTTAATTGAGCATCAATATTGACCTTTGGTAGCTTTATCTTTATAGTGTGATCTATTACACTTGATATTTTCAAACATGCTTTCTGGAAAAACAAGCATTTATTTTATTCGCTAATGCATTAGGACTAGGTTTATGTTCCGAATTGTGATAATTAATTTTAAGTGTCAACTCGACTGGCTTGAGGGTTACCCAGATAGCTGGTCAAGCACTATTTCTGAGTCTGTCTGTGAGAGTGTCTCCAGAAGAGACTGGTATTTAAATCAGGAGATTGAGTAAGGAAGATCCACTCTCAGTGTGTGCAAACATCACCCAATTAGCTGAGGGCCCAGATAGAAAAAAAAGAAAAAAAAAAAGGGCAAGGGAAGTATAGTCAAACTCACTCTCTCTCTTTCTCTCTCTCTCTCCCCTTCTCTGCCTTCCTTCTAGAGCTGGAGCTGGGACACACTTCTCCTGCCCTTGGACATGAGAACTCCAGGTTCTCTGGCTTTTGAACTCCAGGACTGTACAAGTGGCCTTGCAAGTTCTCAGGCCTTTGGCCTCAGAATGGGAGTTACACCATCAGCTCCCCTGGTTCTGAGATTTTCACAATTGGAATTGGCCATACTCCTGGACTTCCTGGTTCTCCAACTTGCATATGACCTGTGGTGGGACTTCTCATTCTTTGTAATTGCATGAGCCAATTCCCCTTATAAGTTCCCTCTCATATTTCTATATCTATGCCTATCAATATCCATCTTTATCTATATCTGTAATCTATATATCTTTTTTGGGGGTCAGTGTCTTGCTGTGTCACTCAGACTGGAGTTCAGTGGTGTGATCTCAGCTCACTGCAGCCTCAACCTCCTGGGATCAAGCCATCCTTTCACCTCAGCCTCCCCAAGAGCTAAGACTACAGGCTGCACCAACACACCTGGCTAATTTTTGTAGAGAAAAGAGTTTCACCATGTTGCCCAGGCTGGTCTCCAACTCTTGGGTTCAAGAGATCCTCCTGCCTCAGCCTCCCAAAGTGTTGGGACTACAGGTATGAGTCTTCACACCAGGCCTATATCTTTATCTCTACATCAGTATCTATCTATATATCTGTCCTACTATATCTGTATCTGTATCATCTATCTCTATATCCTATCGATTCTATCTCTCTGGAGAACCCTCACTAATGAAATAAAGTAACAGATTTAATAATATCGTTGTAAAATATTCCAATGTGTTCATTAATTTGAAGCTGTCCTTCAACCCTGCTCCAATTTTTTCACACTGTCAGACTCTTTATAAAACTCTTCCTTTTGAGTCTCATGACAACTGAATTTACTTACGTTTTTCTTCTTTTTCTCCTTCCCAGTGCTGTGCAAATATCACCACTATTTTCAAATCTGGTATGGTTTGAATATTTGTCCACTCCAAAACTCATGTTAAAACTTAATCACAGGCCAGGCGTGGTGGCTCACGCCTGTAATCCCAACACTTTGGGAGGCCATGGCAGGAGGATCACTAGAGGTCAGGAGTTTGAGACCAGCCTAACCAACATGGTAAAACCCTGTCTCTACTAAAAATAGAAAAGTTAGCCACGTGTGGCAGCAGGCATTTGTAATCCCAGCTACTCTGGAGGCTGAGGGAGAAGAATGTTTTGAACCCAGGAGGCGGAGGTTGCAGTGAGCCAAGATCACACCACTGCACTCCAGCCTGGGCAACAGAGCAAGACTTGGTCAAAAAACAACAACAACAAAAAAAAAAAAACCCTTAATCCTCAATGTGACAAGGTTGAGAGAGAGGGCCTTGAAGAGCTAATTGGGTGATGAGGGCTCCACCTTCATGAAAGGATTTGCTGATTTATGGATTCATGGGTTCATGGATTTTTGAGTTGTCACAGGAGTGGGACTGGTGGTTTTATAAGAGATGAAGAAAGTCCTGAGCCAGCATACTCAGCCCCCTCACCATGGAATGCTCTGCACTGCCTGGAAACTCTTCAGGAGATTCCCCAACAGCCAGAAAGCTCTCACCAGATGCCATTCCTCAACCTGAAACTTCTTTGCCTCTATAACTGTAAGAAATAATTTATTCAACAGACAAACAGAGAGCCAAATCATGAGTGAACTCCCATTCACAATTGCTTCAAAGAGAATAAAATACCTAGGAATCCAACTTACAAGGGATGTGAAGGACCTCTTCAAGGAGAACTACAAACCACTGCTCAAGGAAATAAAAGAGGATACAAACAAATGGAAGAACATTCCATGCTCATGGGTACGAAGAATCAATATTGTGAAAATGGCCATGCTGCCCAAGGTAATTTACAGATTCAATGCCATCCCCATCAAGCTACCAATGCCTTTCTTCACAGAATTGGAAAAAACTACTTTAAAGTTCATATGGAACCAAAAAAGAGCCCGCATCGCCAAGTCAATCCTAAGCCAAAAGAACAAAGCTGGAGGCATCACACTACCTGACTTCAAACTTTACTACAAGGCTACAGTAACCAAAACAGCATGGTACTGGTACCAAAACAGAGATATAGATCAATGGAACAGAACAGAGCCCTCAGAAATAATGCCGCATATCTACGACTATCTGATCTTTGACAAACCTGAGAAAAACAAGAAATAGGGAAAGGATTCCCTATTTAATAAATGGTGCTGGGAAAACTGGCTAGCCATATGTAGAAAGCTGAAACTGGATCCCTTCCTTACACCTTATACAAAAATCAATTCAAGATGGATTAAAGATTTAAATGTTAGACCTAAAACCATAAAAACCCTAGAAGAAAACCTAGGCATTACCATTCAGGACATAGGCATGGGCAAGGACTTCATGTCCAAAACACCAAAAGCGATGGCAACAAAAGACAAAATTGACAAATGGGATCTAATTAAACTAAAGAGCTTCTGCACAGCAAAAGAAACTACCATCAGAGTGAACAGGCAACCTACAAAATGGGAGAAAATTTTCGCAACCTACTCATCTGACAAAGGGCTAATATCCAGAATCTACAATGAACTCAAACAAATTTACAAGAAAAAAACAAACAACCCCATCAAAAAGTGGGCAAAGGACATGAACAGACACTTCTCAAAAGAAGACATTTATGCAGCCAAAAAACACATGAAAAAATGCTCACCATCACTGGCCATTAGAGAAATGCAAATCAAAACCACAATGAGATACCATCTCACACCAGTTAGAATGGCAATCATTAAAAAGTCAGGAAACAACAGGTGCTGGAGAGGATGTGGAGAAATAGGAACACTTTTACACTGTTGGTGGGACTGTAAACTAGTTCAACCATTGTGGAAGTCAGTGTGGCGATTCCTCAGGGATCTAGAACTAGAAATACCATTTGACCCAGCCATCCCATTACTGGGTATATACCCAAAGGACTATAAATCATGCTGCTATAAAGACACATGCACACGTATGTTTATTGCGGCACTATTCACAATAGCAAAGACTTGGAACCAACCCAAATGTCCAACAATGATAGACTGGATTAAGAAAATGTGGCACATATACACCATGGAATACTATGCAGCCATAAAAAATGATGAGTTCATGTCCTTTGTAGGGACATGGATGAAATTGGAAATCATCATTCTCAGTAAACTATCGCAAGAACAAAAAACCAAACACCGCATATTCTCACTCATAGGTGGGAATTGAACAATGAGATCACATGGACACAGGAAGGGGAATATCACACTCTGGGGACTGTGGTGGGGTGGGGGGAGGGGGGAGGGATAGCATTGGGAGATATACCTAATGCTAGATGACGAGTTAGTGGGTGCAGCGCACCAGCATGGCACATGTATACATATGTAACTAACCTGCACAATGTGCACATGTACCCTAAAACTTAAAGTATAATAAAAATAAAAATAAAAATAATTTATTCTTAAATATAAATACCCTGTTTCAGGTGTTCCATTATAAGCAATAGAAAATGGACTAGTGCACTCACCAACCATCATCTTTCAGGTGTAGAAAAATAAGGCACTGCTTACTCTCCAACCCAAACATTACCTTCCACCTAGGAGGTACATCTTTGATAGGTTCCCATCCAAGGTCTGGTGAGTCATGTCTAATTTAGGAGCAATTCTTTAGTACATGTTTAGAATTGAAAATAATGTTGGCCAGGTATAGTGGCTCATGCCTATAATCCCTGACTTTGGGAGGCTAAGGTGGGAGAATAGTTTGAGGCCAAGAGTTTGAGACCAGCCTAGGCAAGACAGTGATACCCCATCTCTACAAAAAAATAGAAATTTAACAAAAATTTTAAAAATAAAATAATGTTTAATTGTAAAAGAACAAGTGTTGGTGAGGCTATGGATAAGTTGGAACACTTGTGCATCACTGGTGAGAACTTAAAATGCTGCAGCCATTACAGATAACAGTATGATGGTTCCTGTCAAAATTAAAAGTAGAATTACCACATGACCCAGCAATTTCCCTATTCAAATTCAGGTGGAAAGAATTGAAAACAGGGACTCAAACAGAAAATTATACAAGAGTATTCATGGAAGCATTCTTTAAATAGTGACGAAGTGAAAACAACTCAGATGTCCATCAGCGGATGAGTCGCCAAACAAACCGTGGCCTATCCATACAGTGGAATATTATTCAACCTAAAAAAGGAAGGAGCCTCTGACACATGCTACCATGTAGATGAATATTTTATTATGCTAAATAAAATAAGAGAACAAATATTGCATGATCCCACTCACATAAAATATCTAGAATAGCCCTAATCATAGAGAGAAAATATAGGATAATGGTGACCAGGGTCTGGGGAGAGGGCAAATGGGGGAGTCATTGCTTAATAGCTGCAGCGTTTCTCTTTGGGGTAATGAAAGTGGTTTGAAAACAGTCTTGATGGTTGAGCAGCATTGTGAATGTAATTATTACCACTGAATTGTACACTTAAAATGGTTAAAAGAGCAAATTTAGGGTATACGTATATCTAGCACAATAAAATGTATAATTATCCTTAGCAATAAACAATCTTAGTGAGATCACATTTTCCCAGTTGTTCATGCATTATCATCTAGGTTCCACATTTTAAAATTTTGTTGCTTAAAACAAAGAAATATTTCTTTGTAATTTTTCTAATATAAGTGACTTAGGCTTTTATTTATTCCACTTATTTTTGTGACTGGTCCATCTCACAGCTACAATGCATCTTAAAACATCATCGTTTAATCTGACATGTCAGCTTTCTTAAAAATATTTTTAATATTTTATCGTTCCTCTTTTAAGAGATGTGTATTATTTTGGACATCGTTACGAAAAGTAATTTCTGCATATTTCTGACAGCAGGCCATTTAATGTCACATTCTTCTTTTTGTCTGTCTTATCACTTGAGCACAATAGATCAGGATTCTAGTCTGTGGATATTTCGAGATGAAGAGAAAATATCATTTCTAAGGAAAGATAAAATTTTAACACCATAAATATTTTCATCACAATACCATCTTTTTGCATTCACCTACATTGTGATTAATGTAGAACATACCTGATTATAAAAACACATTTATTAAATTCAAATAATAACTACCTTCCTTTCACGTAAGGATTATACTTTAGAATTTAATATTCTTAACTATACTACTGATACATTCTAAATGCAAAAGACAAAATATAAAAAGTGAAATTCAATACAATTGCAGATGCCTTTTAATATTAGCGTAATAATCTTATATGTTCATTTCCATTATTTGAGCAAGAGTTTTGTTTTTCTCTTATTTATTTCCTAATTAAAGAAGAAACACTAGATTGCTACAAAATTTTTAAGGAATGAATGGATATCGAGAATTGTTTAAATAATGTATTTACAGTATCTCCTCTAAATAATACATTGGGATTATTTGGACCTTGTATTACTCTTAGGGCTACTGTAACAAAGGACGACCGACTAAGCAGCTTAAACAACAGACATTTATCCTCCTGGAGTTCTGGAGGCTGAAAGTCCGAGATCAAGGTGTGGGCAGGGCTGGTTCCTCCTGAGGCCTGTCTCATTATCTTGTAGACACTGTCTTCTCCCCGTGTCTTCACAGGGTCGTCCCTCTGTGTGGGTCTGTGTCCTCATCTCCTCTTCTTATGAGGTGTCTTAGGTCCATTTCAGGCTGCTATAATAGAACACATAGACTGGGTGGCTTATAAACAACAGACATTGATTCTCTCACAGCCCTGGAGGCTGGAAGACTGAGATCAAGGTGTGGGCAGGGCTGGTTACTCCTGAGGCCTCTCTCCTGGGCTTGTAGATGCCGTCTTCTCCCTGAGTCCTCACCTGTTTGTACCTCTGTGTGTGTCTGTAACCTCATCTCCTCTTCTTACAAGGACACCAGTGCTACTGGATCAGAGCTCACCTTAGTGATCTCCCTGTACCTTAATCACCTCTTTAAAGACCCTGTCTTCAGCGTGACCAACATGGAGAAACCCCGTCTCTACTAAAAATACAAAATTAGCTGGGCATGGTGGTGAGTGCCTGTAATCCCAGTTACTTGGGAGGCTGAGGCAGGAGAATCGCTTGAATCCAGGAGGTTGTTGCTGTGAGCCGAGATTGCGCCATTGCACTCCAGCCTGGGCAACAAGAGTGAAACTCTGTCTCAAAAAATCAAAAAACAAAAAACCCTGTCTTTAAAAATAGTCACATTCTGAGGTCCTAGGGGTTAAAGCTTGGACATACAAATTTTGAGGGGATAGGCAGAATTCAGAGCATAACAAAGAAAAATTCACACATTATAAATAATTTGTAGAATGACAGGATTATAATATGATCTTTTTGACTTGATTTGCAGGGATGTCACAGAGACACATAAGCTTGTGTATGCACATACACACTCACACACATACATATAATTTGTGCACATGCACACACACATCCATATCATCCATGCAGTGCTACAAAATTTTGCTTTTTCATTTTCATATACAAGAAGCAAAGGATATTCATGTTCAGCAATTTTTGACAGACAGTCTGTCCCATGCTGTTGTGCACTTTAAAAGCACACACAGAAAGAGCAATTTGAGGTTCTCAGATGCTTGACCCACTTCTACTCACTAGGATGGACTCATCTGTAGATGTTGCAGAACTGTGGTGCATAGCGGTGCATGAGCACACCACTCAAATCCCTTATCTCCACTCTCCGAGCCCGTGTGCTCATGACATCATACTTGGTGCATTTCACAAACCACTTCCAAAGTATTTCCCTAATCCAGGTGTCCAAGAAATATGTGCTGGGCCCTTCTGCAGTTCTGTGCCACGCACTGTGTTGTAGCTCAGTGATTTACTGACTTAAAATTTTAAATAAAACCACCATCTTCATAGCTAAAGCCAAGTTATTTATCACTATTTTCTAGTGAACTTTAACATAGAACATGTTCTAGAGTTTCCTCAGCTTAGCAACCATCGCTTGTTTTTATACAAATTCAAAAGCAGACACTAAATCGGTGAACAGTGGGAAAACACGTTTCTTTTGCAACATATTGATTTCGACATCAACAAAATAAAATAAACAAAAACATCTATTAAGTCACAGGGAATTGGATCCACACGTTTTATCTCTGCCCACTTCAACCACACAAAATGTCTATCCATCATCTATCTATCTAGCATTTTTGTTTTATTTTATTTTTTAAGGAAAAGAGGTGCACATTTTATTTTACTTATTTATTTTTCTTTTAACTTTCATTTTAGGTTCAGGGGTCTATGTGCATGTTTGTTTTATAGGGAAACTCTGGGGCCTACTTGAGATTGGAGGGTGGGAGAAAGGAAATATCTAGCATTTTTCTGTCTATTAAGTTTATTTTACCAAGTCCCAACAATTATCAGGATTTTGCCAGTTTTATTCCATCTTTTCCATCTGTTTCCGTTTCCCGCAAGCTAACTCCCCAAGTATATTAAGGTAATATATGTATTTAATATTACATCTGAGACACAACATCACTTCACCTGTGTATAATGCACAGCGAATCTGCAATAGATAGAAGGTGATGTTGTTGTCTTTTGAACAACATTGCCATCTACAGGCAGGGTCAATATACACTATATAAGACAGAAAAATCATCCCCCAAATCAGAATTATAAGCGTGTTATTTAAGCATTTAATAATCACTATCACATCATTGCACGCTGCTTACTCAAACCTGTGAAGCAGCAAAAATGGTCTATAATTGTCTATAATTAAATGACCAAGTCAAGGACGTTCCTGCTCTGGGTGATTCTCTGCTTCCTAGATTGGCAGAGCCATTAAATACATTGGACAAATTGAGGGTGCAAAAAAGCTGTACACTGCTCCCGAAACATGCAAAAATGGGATGCTGTCCAAACACAGCGATTTGAACCTGGTTTTTCTTTGTTTATCTTTTTTTTTCTTTTTTCTTCTTTCTTTTTTTTTTTTGCTAAAGCATTCATTTTCTTTTGTTAAGTACGTTATTAAAATGTTTTTAAAATAGGCACTGGTATCTTTTGTGGTGGACCTCGATTACTCAAACTATTACATACAAATACATTGCATTTACATTTGAGGTTTAAATGTATTATTAAAGGAATTTGTGGACCAGCAATTTGGGATCATTTGGGAAAATTTATCATAACAACTCTAGATAAATGAGTTGGAAACCGTAGAGATGCAGTTTCTCTGCCTGGGATGTGCAAAGAACAGATGTCTGTAATTCCTGCAATTTTACTAATAATTTGGTGATTTGTATGTTTTTGACTTCTATATCCTAGATGAAGAGACAATTGCAATAATCATGCCTAATGGTGAGGAGGAAAATTATCAACGGTGGTTACTTTTCATTCTCTCTTTAAAGTTTTGTTGTTGCTGTTGTTCGCTTGTTTGTTTGTTTTGAGACGGTCTTGCTCTGTGGCCCAGGCTGGAGTGCAATGGCACGATCTCAGCTCACTGTAGCCTCTACTTCCTGGGTTCAAGTGATTCTCCTGCCTCAGCCTCCTGAGTAGCTGGGATTATAGGCACACACCACTACACCTGGCTAAGTTTTTTGTGTTTTTTAGTAGAGACAAGGTTTCACCATGTTGGCCAGGCTAGTCTCCAGCTCCTGACCCCTGGTGATACACCCACCTGGGCCGCCCAAAGTGCTGAGATTACAGGCATGAGCCACCGTGCTGAGCCTTCTCTGCAAAGTTTTAAAGTAAAACGTGGGAATGATGAACAATTTTTTAAAACAGCGTAAGTTGCAGGATACTACAATAGATGTAATCAGAATCTATGTCATTGAGTTTTCTGTGGTAATTAAATAAACAAAAAGTATGTGCAAGGCATGTATTTCTGATATCAAACCCAATATGAATACTATGCAGCCATACAAAAGAACAAGATCATGTTCTTCGCAGGAGTGTGCCTGGACCTGGAGGCCATTATCCTTATGCAGCCATAAAAAAGAAGGAGATCATATCCTTTGTAGGAACATGAATGGAGCCTGTAAACCATTATCCTTAGCAAAGTAACACAGGAACAGAAAACCAAATTCTGCATGTTCTCACTTATAAGTGGGAGCTACATAATGAGAACACATGGACACATAGAGTGGAACAACAGACATTGGGGCCTATTGGAGGGTGGAGGGTGGGAGGAGGGAGAGGATTAGGAAAAACAACTAATGTGTACTAAGCTTAATACCTGGGTGATGAAATAATCTGTATAAAAAACCCCCATAACACAAGTTTACCTGTGTAACAAACCTGCACATGCACCCCTGAACTTCAAAGTTAAACAAAAAGTACTATATTGTTAATGAGAATGCAGGTATTTCCTATTTCCCAAATCCTGTTTCGTGAAAAATATGTTAAATATTACATGATATTGAGATTAATTTGCCAGTGGTAATACAGCAATGTTTTAAAAGTTTTTACAGGAAAGTCTCCATTTGTAACTCACTCATTGGTGTTTAGAAGGTCATTCCCACTGAAAAGCCCACCTCTGGACCTGTCCTAATCTTGCTGGCATAGAGGTTAAATTGGGAAATAGAAAGTACCCAGATATTTCTTTCTCTATTGTGGAATTTGGAATGGGTTGGTTACAGAATTGAAAGTAAATTGAAAACTAGCACATGGAAAGTTTATTAAAGCATTTGACAATGAACAATAGAAGTTTGAAATGGGGAGTCTGGGAGCAGATAGAGAAGGATGGAAAGATGGGAGGATGGGCCTGGATGGGCCTTCTCTACTTGTTAGAAAAGATTTGTGTTCAATTATATTATTTTGGTAATAATGCTAAAAGTGGGTATGATCTGGGGAAAGATATGGAAACAGGCAAACAGGATGAAGGAGAAAATATTACTACCAACATCATAAAAATAAGTGAAGTCTGCTGTTGAGCTTTATTTACTAAAAGTTACTAAAATAGGAAAAAACTTAAAAATAAAATTTATATTGTACGTTTTCTTTCTTTTTTTTAACTTTTAGGTTCACGGGTACATGTGGAGGTTTGTTACACAGGTAAAAGTGTGTCATGGGGTTTGTTGTACAGATTATTTCATCAGCCAGGTATCACCCTAGTACCCATTAATATCCTGAGCCTCTCCCTCCTCAACCTTCCACCCTCCGATGGCCCCAGTGTGTGTTGTTCACCCCCATGTGTCCATGTGTTCTCATCATTCAGCTCCCACTTAAAAGTGACAACAGGCAGCATTTGGTTTTCTGTTCCTGTGTTAGTTTGCTAAGGATAATGGCCTTCCGCTCCATCCATGTTTCTGCAAAGGATATGATCTCATTCTTTTTTATGGCTGCATAGTGTTCCATGGTGTGTGTATGTGTGTGTGTGTGTGTGTGTGTGTGTGTGTGTATATGTTTTCAGTATGCATCTTCATGCAGATCTTTCAAAGAAACTGATTTCACAGACCACCATCAATGGTGGCCACTGGAGATCAATACTGGCCAAACTTTGGAAATAAAATAGTAATGGAACTTAGAACCTAGCTATATATGAGTTTGCTAGGGCTGCCATAACAAAGTCCCACAGACTGTGCAGCCTAAACTCTCTGTCTCTATATATACATAGTACGTTTTCACCAGTGGTATATCTAACCCATGGTGTTTGATAAAAATGTTGGCATTTCACCAATTGTTTGGCATTAGTTTGCTTTCATTTGCATGTGAGCAGTGTCTACACAAAATACACATATTAAAGTCCTAACCCCCAGTACCTCAGAAAGGGACTGTATTTGGAGATAGGGCCCTTAAAGTGACAATTAAAGTATAATGAGGCCATTAGGGTGGGCCCTGGTCCAATAGGACTTATAAGAAGAAATTAGGACACAGACACACAGAAAGACAACCATGTGAGGACACGGGGAGAAGACGGCGTCTATAAACCAAGGAGAACAGCCTCAGGAGGGATCAGCCCTGTGACACCTTGATCTCAAATTCCTGGCCTCCAGGATGGTGGGGGAATAAATGTCTTTTGTTTAGGCTGCGCAGTCTGTGGGACTTTGTTACGGCAGCCCTAGCAAACTCATATCGCTAGGTTCTAAGTTCCGTTACTATTTTATTTCCAAAGTTTGGCCAGTATTGATCTCCACTGACCACCGTTGATGGTGGTCTGTGAAATCAGTTTGTTTGAAAGATCTGCATGAAGGTGCATACTGAAAACAGAGCACTATGATGTAATCCAGCCACATCCACCAGGTCTCTTGGGAAATCATCCCCCCTCATGTCTCCCTAGTGGATTCAGTTCAAGCATTTGGTTGACCAAAACTTTATTTTAATTTGACACAGTAAGTTAATTTGCAATTATCAATAGATAACGTAGGCAGATGTGTGTGTGTGTGTGTGTGTGTGTGTATGTGTGTGTGTGTGTAGAAATCAGTTGCCATGTTTTCCTTTTTCAAGGTAGTTGCCATTTTTTCTGTGGTTTTTCAATGACCTCAGGTCTACCTTTTTCTATATCCAGACCATGCAGATGGTGTGAGCTGAACAAATGTCAAGCCAGAAAGAAGAGGTCATTGTTGTTTCCATTGTTTCTTTATTTCGCAAACATAACTAGGACTGTAAAAATGTTAAATGTTTTTCAATGTTCAAATTACTTGAAGACCAGATTTCAGCAATCATTTCTACAAGTAGTGAAGAGTTATTATGAAGAGAAAAATAGCAGAAGTTCTAAATAATCCAACACAAATTATGTAAATAAGTCTTTATTTGAATATCTATATTTTTATGGACTTTGAAAGCTTCCAAATAAGTGCATAACATGACTTAAAAAAAAGTCCTGTCCCAAGTCAATATATATGCCATGTCAAAATTCTTAGCTTCAGAAAAAGGTTAAGAAAATGATTTCTCAAGGAGAGTGCCTAAGGATATTCAGAAATTACTTCCTTTGCCCTATAGAATCCCAATTGCAATGTCACAAACCCATAAACCTTCCACTTTGTCCTTTTTGGATGAGAACTTGAAAGTCTTATTTAAAAAGGATGTGATGAATAGACAGATTGTATTTTAGCATATTTACTCTTCTTTTCTCATTTGCCTGTCTTCATCTTATAGCAAAATTGCATCTTCCTGAGTTTATTGTAAATACTTTCATTCTATCGTGAGCCAAAAATGTGGAAGAAACAACTTGAGTGAAAACAAAGGATTGGCCAAAGAAAGTTAAGCATTAGTCTGCGTCTATAGATTTAGCAAGCTGATCTATTCATGTTGTGGCATAAGCTAGTATTTAGTGCGTTTGCCATGGTATGAATCTTTAGGGATTAACTTTTTAACAAGAAATATGACTCAGTCCTCCTTCTCATAATCCAAGTGTGGTTTGCAGCTCAGCAGAGTAATAAACCCAGGGATGTGTTAGAAATTAAATGTATGTGAAATGTAAAGACATCACATTCTTAGAAGCAGAGAATACAATGGCAATTTTGGAGGCCGGGGTGGGGGAAATGAAAGCTTTGGTGAAAGGATACAAAATCTCAGATAGATAGAAGGAATCTTTTCCCCTCTTTGAGTTCTATTAATATTACAAATTGTGGTGAATATAGTTAATGATGGAGTATTTTACACTTCAAAATTGATAAAAGAGTAAACTGTAAATGTTCTCACCACAAAAATGTTAGGATATATTAACTGGTTTGATTTAATTATTCTACATTGAACAATACTTCATATCTCATTCATTTATATAATTACAAATTATCAGTTTACAACAAAATAAAACAAAAATAAAATAAAATATATGGACCCAACCTGGACCTTCTGCATCAGAAGGTTTTGTAGAAATCCGCGTATTAAAAAGCTTTCCATAATGTTCTTATCCACGCTAACATTTGAGAATCACTGTTCTAGTGAGTTACTCTAAAATGTAGAGGGCATCTAAAGAGTGGTAAATGAAATATACTGTAGATAATGGAAGAGAAAAACTACAGACTTGGCAAGTTTCTTTCCAGAAAGATCCATAAAAACTGAGACCGAAAGCTGAGATTTGGGGATTGTAGTTTGCTTGTTTAACCACACCGTATTCCAAAAGACAATGTGTTTCTATGTAAAGTGCATTTTTAAATATAAAAAAGTGTGAACTCAAATTGCTCACCCTCCACGTTAATAAAATAGAGACAGAGCCTATCACAGAGGATGCAACTATGGAGACAGTCCGGTGAATAGTATTCTTTGTATGTGTATGGGCACATACTTCACACAAACGTTAGTAAAAATTAAGAGAAGGGAAATTGGGGGTAGGCAATTTTGCTTGTCCACCTTGACTTATTCTATAAATAAACGTAAATAACAGCATTTCAACTCTTTGAGAAAAATTATCCAATCGAGACAATGGGAAAATTAGACAGGATTGTGTGCAAATTCAGAAAGTACAGACAAGTTAAAACACATGGGCACACAGGCATACTCACCAATCCCCATGTGCTCACTAAGGTGAATTAATTTGTGCAGGAAGATAGTAGTGTACCTACTACCTGTTATTTAGTACCTGGTGTTTATGGATGGTGAGTTTAGTACCTGGAATTTATGGATGGCGAAGAAGTTTGGAATATAAAAAATTAACCACTATTTGTAAAAATTTGAAATAGGAAATGAATGGTCCTATTGAATAATTGTAATGTGCAGATGTAGAAATAATATTTGAATTCAAATATAAAAACAATGGGAACTAGAATGATGCTTAAAATTTGCCATGTAGTAAGCATGACTACAAAGCTATTTTAAATATTAGAATTGGTAATCTACCCATATATATTTATCATTTGGCATATTTGTTTGTCAAAAAATCTTAATACATTTTTAGGGATTGAGCTATGGATTTCAAGTGATGCTATGTATAATTGTTCTATCTCCTTTAATATATGAATCTATGACTGTGTGCATGCCTGATTAAAAGGCATGAGGCTGATCTTCCAGAATAAATTATTTAATCATCACCAACTATATATTAGTCAACCAGCCACTCAATTATAGAGAACACATCGCAGTCTGACATACTGATACATTTAAGGCTGGTAAGAAATCTATGCATACATTCTAGATAGATATTTTTATATTTAAAATTATGATATAAGGTTAATTTTTATTTAAGAGGATTTTTATTTTAAAAATCCCATGGATCAGCCTGAGCAACACAGTGAAACCCCATTTCTGTAAAAAATAAAAAAATATTGGTCAGGCATGGTGGCGTGTGCCTCTGGTCCCAGCTACTTGGGAGGCTGAGGTGGGAGGATGGCTTGAGCCCAGGAGTTTAAGGCTACAGTGAGCCACAATGGTGCCACCGTACTCCAGCCTGGGTGACAGAGCAAGACCCTGTTTCAAAACCAGCCAACCAACCAACAACAACAACACAAACCTAACACAAACAAACAAACCCACGGATGATTTGACACTTTGGCACATTATGCAAATATAGAGCCCTGACATCTACGTCATTGTAACATTTCTTATTATGCCGGCGTTCAACTGCTGGGTGCAATTGACAGTATGTTCCCACTGTATAAACTCCCTTGCTAAAGATGAACATAGAAAATAAAAATAGCCACCTGTGTTGAAAAAAACGATCTATTAGGTAGAACAGGTTAATTATTTCTCACATGAATGTTTGAATGTAACTATTAAACTCGGAGAGTTACCAGCCCTGTGTTGACTATTGATTCATTAGCTTCCAAATTTCTGTAATTGACAGGCACCTGAAGCTACCTGGTGTCTGCAGATAATAAAATGTTAACGCAGGAACATCATTTTCATGCTCTGTTGCTTTAGATCTTGAAGTAAATACTAATGCACAGGGTCCATTAGGTTTCTTCTCCTTCTGCATGAAGTGTAGCTTCATTGTACTAAAAGCAACCATTGAAATCATCTTATTTTCCAGGAAAATGAGGCATTAAAAAGATAAAGAACTTGTCCAAGGTCATCCATTTAGCACTGTGGCCATACAAGCATTCTGTGTACTACTTTAAAATGAAGTTTTCAAAAGACTTTAAGATTTTTTTCCTCTTGCCATGCATGATCTTGTCAAGTAAAGACAAGGACGACTTACCATTCTGGAAATGAAAAAAAAAATAAACTAATGATTATATTCAAGATTTGCTTCTTATTGGAATATTAACAGAAAACATCCAATTCTATATTTATTCATGATAATTTTGTTTAAAAATGATACATGTGTAAAAAAATTGGCAGATTGCTGTATTTTATATGGGATACTGATAAAACTCATTCAGTGAAACTGATAATAGGAATCCTGTGCCTTGTAAAAATTGTTTAAATGCATAAACTTATTTAAATAATTTTTAAATGAACTTTGAGAAATGATGACTTTTTTTCAAATTTGGCACTGTATTGCAACTTGTTTAATTTTTTCATGCCATTATCACATACAACATCATGATTTTAATTGAAAAGATAATTAAAATGGACATTATTAAGAAAATAGCTCTTGGGAAATTGTTCATGATCTCAGAGTATTACAGCCCAAGATATTAATGCAATGATTTATCGTGCCATCTGTACAGGCACACTAGTTACCTTGCTGTAAGTACATAACATCTGACCTAGAAAAAAGTCTACTTTTCCTATTTTAATAGATTGTAACATCAAAAAGCACTTTTCACTAAGCTCCAATAAGATACAACCGTGCCCATGAAACTGTGCCCCTAAGTTGCACTGAATTTCAGCTTTTGATCACTGCTGATTGAAAGTACTGTAGGAGTGCTGAGAGCAGAGTTAACAACAAATATATCATTTTCTTTAATCAGCTCATGCTTCAGAGATGAGTGATCTCTGTCTTTGGGATTGTGAACTTGGGAGCAGTTCAGTATACAGTGTGGCTGGTCAGAGAAGTTTCCAAAGGAGATGATTGACTCGCCTTTCAAAAGAATTCTGTGAGTAATGAATTTGAAAGATAAACCTTTTGTACATGTATATTTGAGGATTTGAATATAGTCCACTGTAGTTTACTGTGATTTAAATGATTTAAGTCACTGAATTTGGTTTTGTAGGCAATGTGATGAAACTGCATCAAACGAAACTAACAATAGGTATTACATTCACTCCTTTTTGGCTGGATGACAGAGTGAAATATTTCAGTTCTCAGTTAATTTAGTTTTCTATGAAATAATTAATGGCATAAATTGGACTAATTTTAATATCAATTATTGCTCTTAGTTTTATGAACTTAAGTCCTCTACTGCCTACTGGCCTATATCTGTAAACAAAGCTACACTGTTTCACAAGTGAAGAAACTAGCACTAATGGGACATTTCAAAATTACCTTTGATATGCAATTTTGGCATTTAG
This sequence comes from Homo sapiens, assembly GCF_000001405.40. Taxonomy (NCBI): domain Eukaryota; kingdom Metazoa; phylum Chordata; class Mammalia; order Primates; family Hominidae; genus Homo; species Homo sapiens. Next base: position 180,589 of record NW_017363820.1, read on the forward strand.
TAGCATAACTGTCACATTAAGCAAGAATTTCCCCTTCTCATAAATGAATTTTTTGGTTCAATTTCCATTGGCCAGTAATATGTAGTATATGACAATATGATGATGATGATGGAGATAATGATGATGATAAAGATAATGATGATGATGGTGGAGATCGTGATGATAGTGTTGATGATAATGAGGATGGTGATGGTGATGGTGATATGATAATGATGGTGATGATGATGTTGATGGTGATGATGATAATGATGATGATTGTGGTGATGGTGATGAGAGTGATGATGATGGTGATAATGGTGATGATGGTTATGATGAAGATGATGATAATGGTAGTGATGATGATGATGAATATGATAATGATGTTGGTGATGAGGGTGTTGACCATGATGATGGCGAGGTGATGAAGATTATGATGGTGATGAAGAAAATGATGATGATGTAATGATGGTGTTGATTATGGTGATGATGATGATGGTGATGATGAAGATGATGTTGATGGTGGTGGTGATAATGATGATCATCATCATCATGATCATAATGATGATTAAGATGATGACAACGATGATGATATGTCACGTTACATAGACACTCAAGAAAATGTACCCTCATATTATTTAACAAATTGGAAAAAACATTCCATGATCATGGATAGGAAGAATCAATATCGTTAAAACGGCCACACTGCCCAAAGCAGTTTGTAGATTCAATGCTATTCCTATTAAACTACCATTGACATTCTTCACAGAATTAGAAAACACTATTTTAAAATTCATATGGAACCAAAAAAGAGCCCATATAGCCAAGACAATCCTAAGCAAAAAGAACAAAGCTGGAGGCATCACACTACCGGACTTCAAATTTATGCCTTTTTTTTTTTTTTTTTTTTTTGAAAATCAAGTTTAGGAATATATGTCATATTTAATTCATATAAATATTGCATTTTCTTTGACTAGGACTTTTTATAGGGAATATTAGGATTGTCAATTATTTGAAGCTTTGGAGTAAATCTATAAAACCATTGAGCCAAGTGCCTTTTTGGAGGATAACTAGTTTGAAATTTTTCTATGATTTAAATGGAAATTGTTTTGTTGAAGGATTCTTTTTGTACATGATTTGCATTTGGTAAATAGCTACTTTTTATTAGATATTTCATGCAAGTTTTCAAGCATATTTGCAGTAAGTTATACAAATCAATCTCTCATGATGTCTCAATTTTCTGTTTGTTTCAGTAGTCTTTTTTCTACTTGCTCTTTCTTAATTTTTGTATCTGTACCTTATTCCTATTTTTAAAAATGTAACTGTTTGTCCATATTTTTCATTGTTTCCAAGTGCCAACAGTTACTTTGTTGTATAGTACATGGCTTAACTGCTCTCATCAATTTCTGCTTTAATTGTGATATAAGAAAAGATAAAATTTAGGTTCCAAAACACCAGTGATAAAAGGAAATAAGTGTAATACTAAAGCTTCCAATTAACACTAAAGACATATTTATGAATATCTATGCTTTAAATAAGAGGGCAACTAATTTTCATAACACAAATGTTTAAGATATGCAAGGAGAAAGAGATAGAGTCATACTATCAAAGGGACAAAATAATACAAAAAGAAACAAATAATCTATTCATCAGCGAGATGCCCTTATGGGGACATACAAAATGCACCCTTCAGTAATAGGTAATATACTTAATCTGCAGTTACATTTTTAAAAATTATGAAAATTGATGATGACCAAGTAAATCTGTATCAATTCCAAAGGAATAAAATTTATAAAAATACTTGTGTTATTTTTTGTGATATTGAGTGAGTGATTTTGGTTATAACTAATACTTTTTTTCTCCACGGGGTTTTTGTTTATATGTTTTATCTATGCACTTCTAATCAAGAAACACTTGAGGAAAGAACCATTATTGGTATTATTGTTCTGTACCAAAGTTTTTCTTTACTTTGTTGGGTATTGTGTGAAGCATCTTCTTTAACTAAAAATTTTTGAGTTTTACTTTGGTTTTTATTTTAATAGTAGTTCCCAGTGAATTCTATCCTTTTTTTTCCTGTTTCTTTTTCAGTGTGCAATTTTCCTGTAGCATCAGGAAAATTGTGTTTTGACTTATGAGGGACTGGTGAGGGGCTATTTATGGCTTACTAGATTTTTCAATTCACGGACACCCTCTCGTGTCCATATAATTAAGTTGCCCTAGGAGACGGCTTTTTTTGGTTTATTTTATTGTGTTGTGTTCTCTTCTGTTGTTTTGTTTGATAAAAAGAGCACAAGTTCTGGCATGTACTTTTGGTTTCATAGGACTGACACTTTTTACTTCTTGTTTTTTCAGTTTGTTTCTTTGTTTTCAGTGACAAATCCCAAAGGATGCCCACTCTTACCAGGTATCTCTCTCCCCTGCCCCAAGTAACAATTCCTTCCTCGAAGTGCCCCCTCTACTAAATTATAGTCCATATTGATAATCACTTGCATTTTGATATGATAATGTAATTGAACAAAAAAGCCATCATTCACATTAGAAAACAAAAAGAAAATACATAGTATCTTGGAATAGTTCTTTGACCATTAGTGGAAGATTTTCTTTTCCTCCCTCCATGGAGAAAATGTTAGCATGGAATGAAGGATGTTGATGTAATTGTTTAAAGAAATGACTCAGATAGAAATGCTCTCCAACACCAGATTCCTGGGGATCTCTGATGTTTCAGGCTCTTCAGAGGGATTTTGACTTCCATTATGGTTTTTCCTATGGACATGGCTAGTTGTTAAAAGATAATTTATTGATCAGGACACCAAGCACATCTCTGAGAGGAAGGTGATATATTCGAGCTCCTGGCAATACCACTAGTAGAGTCAAAAGAGAAGATTCTGGAGTTGAAACCTAGTCATGTGCAAAGGGAATATCTGTTGGATTAGGATGAAGCTGGAGATGGGAGATTATGAATGAAGATCAGAGAAAATGCAGTCAGCACAGCTGAGGTGCAAATCCTAAATCTCACCCCAGGTTCCTCTCATCTAGAAGCTTCCTTTGTAATTCCTAAAGCATCTTCAGCGTTACAATTGTCAATAAATCTTTCCCCAGGTCAATATCTAGCCCAGATATAAAAATGGTGAGGATATGTCTCAGTACTGTGTTTTCAGTCTCAGAAACAAAGAGGTAGGAGGCAGGACTCAACTCTAGAGGAAGGGCTTAGACACCAGACCGAATTGAGGACTAGTTAAAACAGGAACAAAGTGGAAACGGCTCTCCTTAAGACATGTCCACCAGTGAACAATGTCGGTTTATCATTGCCATAACAACACCCAGGGGTTACCACTCCTTTCCATGGCAACAACCCAACAACCTGGAAGTTACCACCCTTTTTCTAGAAATTTCTGCATAAACTCCCCTTAATTTGCATGTTATTAAGAGTGGGTATAAATATGACTACAGAATGGCCTCTGAGCTGTTACTGTGGGCACACTGCCTATGGGGTAGCCCTTCTCTGCAAGAGGCAGTACTTCTGCTGCTGCGGCACACTGCCACCTCAAAATAATTGCTGTCTAACACCACTGGCTCACCTTTGAATTCTTTCCTGGGCAAAGCCAAGAAACTTCCGAGGCTAAGCCCCAAATTAGGGGGTTGCCTGCATCTCTTTCTTTCTTTTCTTTCTTTCTTTCTTTCTTTCTTTCTTTCTTTCTTTCTTTCTTTCTTTCTTTCTTTTTCTTTCTTTCTTTCTTCTTTCTTTCTCTCTTTCTTTCCCTCCCTCCCCCCTCCCTCCCTCCCTCCCTCCCTTTCTTTCTTTCTTTCTTTTTCTTTCTTTCTTTCTTTCTTTCTTTCTTTCTTTCTTTCTTTCTTTCTTTCTTTCCCTCCCTCCCGCCCTCTTTTCTTTCTTTCTTTCTTTTTCTTTCTTTCTTTCTTTCTCTCTTTCTTTCTTCTTTTGAGATAAGGTCTGGCTCTGTTACTGAGGCTGGAGTGCAGTGGCATGATCTCAGCTTACTGCAACCTCCACCTCCTGGGCCCAAGCTTTCCTCCTACCTTAACCTCCCAAGTAGCTGGGACTACAGGTGTGCACCAACACACCTGGCTAATTTTTGTATTTTTTGTAGAAACAGGGTTTCTCCATCTTGCCCAGGCTGGACTTGAACTCCTGAGCTCCAGAGATCCACCCACCTCGGCCTCCCAAAGTGTTGGGATTATAGGTGTCAGCCACTGTGCCCAGCCCATCAGTTTCGTTAAAAGCATAAACATATACACTATTTAAATGGCATAGCATTGCTAATTTATATTATTTAGTATTAAAGAGTGAAACAAATGAGCTAAAGGAAAAACATAAACTTGGTAGAGAGTTGAAGATATTTTATATTATGCTGAGTTCTATATATTTTTGCCAAACACAGTTCTTGCAGATGAACAAAAAGGACACATTGCACATTTGCCTTCTGTTGGGATGTTTCTACTGTTCCTAACTGTCGGCTTCCTAGAGAGAAAACACCATATTTTGAGATATAAATGTAGATGGAAAATGAAAAATGCAAACTGTCACCCTGACATTATCAAATATTTTATTACATTGGTGCCTACATTACAAATAACTCTACTGAGTTTTCATATTAAATGTGTTTTTAAATAAAGAGAACATTTGTGGTTGGTATGAATTTATACTCTGAATTCAGGTGTCATTGCTATGACTGAATGCAGAGATCAGTGTTCCAGAGAAGTTCATATTGTATTCATTGGTTACCTTTTAAATAAGAACTTTAGTGATAAGAAATGCATTATTAAGAGTTTCTGTAAACTTAGGAGACATCGAAATCTGATAGTGAAAACATAGATGATAATAATGTCATGTAAGATATACTTTAAAGATCTATTCCACAATTTATGCTTATATGTAGGTTATGAACTAGAAGGTAGTGATTTTTTTGATAAGGCATGGATATCTCTTAAATTTACTTGCTTATTCCTTTGATCTGTTTTAAAATATATGAGTGATGATTATTTTTTATAGATAATTTTCTATAATTGAAAGTGGAGGCTTTCATTTTTCCAGGCTTTCCATTTTGATCTAATAATTTTCTTAAAAGTAACTATCAGAAGATGCTATTCTACATACAATATGTTGAATTTATTTACAGCACAGTTCACAGAACAGCTTAACATGTTTTGTTCATGTAGATCTAACATTAACTGGAAGGGGTGTGTGTGTGTGTGTGTGTGTGTGTGTAAAAGTAAATATGTAGTATAGATTTTGTTTGAAGTGTACTATTTCTTATGTATTGATTATACTGCTGAGTGGCCAAAATATGAATGGATATTAAAAAAGATTAAAGATCATAGACAATAATTTTCCTCATATGGTCTATAAACAAATCTCATCCAAGGTTATTGCTATTCAGAATGATTTGCTTTGGCAAAACAAATATGCACAAAGCATTCTGTCCTCAACACAACAAGTATTTACCTAAAATTACTGATGTATAGCATCCACATGCAGAAACCATTTAATTTAATCAATGCTCTTGACACATGGTTTAGGATGTTGTCCTTAATATAATATGACTTTTTTTCCTAACTGAAATTACCTACCTGAAAAGAAATAACAAACATTTTATTTTTATTTCTTATTTTCTTTTATTAGTGTGTTAGTCAATTAGGATTTTTTGAAAAGGAGGAGAAGTACGATTAGGCATTAAGGAAAAGCAGTATAGAAAGGTAAATAATGAGCCATATATATAATGAATATTAGCAATTTTATCACAGAAATACTTTAGCCACTTTGTTTTATTATTCACAGAAAAGCAAGTCTTCATGCTGTAGAAACATAACACACAGAGTCATATATGAAGATTTAGGGCTTATTTACAAATATGAATCTCTCTCTCTCTGTCTCTTTTTGCATTATAGCTAATTTATCACAATGGAATCCACACCTTAATTCCCATCTGTCTACTAAGCTGTTACTGACTCATGAAAATGACTGAAACTGACAACACACCTTGGAGACGGGATCACCACTCAGAGAATCTGGCTGTGCTCATGGTCATCTTGGCTTCAGGGGAAACCCTAGGCCTGCTGGAGGTCCTGGGTCACTGTCTATTGTGACTTCCTCCCTGATAAGGAAACCTGACTGGAAGACTGTGATGCTTTACGTTGGGGCCACTGGCAATTTGCCACAAGCAGGGACTCCCCAGTTGGGCTCCCACTTGGTGTATGCGTGTGTGTGTGTGTGTGTGTGTGTGTGTGTGTGATTATTCTTCTAATGATGTTTGTTAGAGAAGGTACAGCCTTGTTGTATAGATGGAAGGTGGTGAAAAAGGCACAAATTGGCAATTCAGGGCTGATTTTCTGAGACAGAATTCGTAGATGTGCCGGTCTAAATTTCAATGTTGAAAGTCTTGCTTTAATTGTGACTGTGGTTTCTTAGGAAGAGAAGTTTGGACAAAGTGTAAGGAGCCGGTGGTTTGTTTCTCTTGGGGCTGAGGCCAACAGGTAGAGGATGGAACAGCACTTAGGATAGAACATCTTGGTCTGTATTCAGGATGGCTTCTTTGCTCACGTGCCTTGCTGACTGCCTGGACGGAGTCAACTGAAACCAGGGTTCAGCTGGGATGGTTGACCAGATACAAACATGTGGCTTCACCATGGGGCTGGGATTTCTCAGTGAATGAAGGCTGGGTGACTGCATGCCAAGAGAAAGCACCCCAAAAACATGTGGCCCAAGGAAGTAAAGTTGCATTTGTAAGATTTAAAACATTTTGTAAATCTATGGTAGTTTATCTCTATTGCTTATTCAAATGGATGACTCCTTAATAATAGTTTATTTATCAAAGCTTCTCCTTTCTGATTTCTTACATCTGCCTCTTGCTTTGCTGGATTTTATTAAGTGAATTTTACTATAAATAAAAACAGGGACTCACTATGGCCACAAAGCATCATTTCTGACCTACTCAACTGGTCCAGGCAGCCACAGTTCATTCCTGATTCAAGGTGAAAAAATTTAAGCCCTCAACTTTTAAATAATTGATTAATTAATTTTTAATCGACAAAAATTATGTATTTATGTTGTACAACATGATGTTTTGAAATATGTATCCATTGCAGAATGGCTAAATAAGCTAATTAACATATGCATCACCTCACATACTTTTTTTTTGTGGTGAGAACACTTCAAATCTACTGTTTTTAGTGATTTTCAAGTACTCTCTACACTGTTATTAACTATAGTCACCATGATATACAAGAGATCTCTTGAAATTATCTTTTAATTTCTGATGTGATGAATGTCAAAGGATTTGCAGCCCCTTTGTAAAACTGCTGCATATAGACACACTCACTGGATTGCCTGACAATGGTTTAATACCACAGCAAATAAAGGAGAACATCAGCATTGCTGCAATATATATATATATATATATATTTTTTTTTTTTTTTTCAGAATTC